>NC_000006.12:98707153-98858668 GCF_000001405.40 Homo sapiens
ATTGTATATCTAGAAAACCCCATTGTCTCAGCTCAAAATCTCCTTAAGCTGATAAGCAACTTCAGCAAAGTCTCAGGATACAAAATCAATGTACAAAAATCACAAGCATTCTTATACATCAACAACAGACAAACAGAGAGCCAAATCATGAGTGAACTGCCATTCACAATTGCTTCAAAGAGAATAAAATACCTAGGAATCCAACTTACAAGGGATGTGAAGGACCTCTTCAAGGAGAACTATAAGCCACTGCTCAAGGAAATAAAAGAGGATACAAACAAATGGAAGAACATTCCATGCTCATGGGTAGGAAGAATCAATATGGTGAAAATGGCCATACTGCCCAAGGTAATTTACAGATTCAATGCCATCCCCATCAAGCTACCAATGCCTTTCTTCACAGAATTGGAAAAAACTACTTTAAAGTTCATATGGAACCAAAAAAGAGCCCGCATCACCAAGTCAGTCCTAAGCCAAAAGAACAAAGCTGGAGGCATCACACTACCTGACTTCAAACTATACTACAAGGCCACAGTAACCAAAACAGCATGGTACTTGTACCAAAACAGAGATATAGATCAATGGAACAGAACAGAGCCCTCAGAAATAATGCCACATGTCTACAACTATCTGATCTTTGACAAACCTGAGAAAAAACAAGCAGTGGGGAAAGGATTCCCTATTTAATAAATGGTGCTGGGAAAACAGGCTAGCCATATGTAGAAAGCTGAAACTGGATCCCTTCCTTACACCTTATACAAAAATCAATTCAAGATGGATTAAAGACTTAAACGTTAGACCTAAAACCATAAAAACCCTAGAAGAAAACCTAGGCATTACCATTCAGGACATAGGCATGGGCAAGGACTTCATGTCTAAAACACCAAAAGCAATGGCAACAAAAGCCAAAATGGACAAATGGGATCTAATTAAACTAAAGAACTTCTGCACAGCAAAAGAAACTACCATCAGAGTGAACAGGCAACCTACAAAATGGGAGAAAATTTTCACAACCTACTCATCTGACAAAGGGCTAATATCCAGAATCTACAATGAACTCAAACAGATTTACAAGAAAAAAACAAACAACCCCATCAAAAAGTGGGTGAAGGACATGAACAGACACTTCTCAAAAGAAGACATTTATGCAGCCAAAAAACACATGAAAAGATTTTCGTGTGCTCTTTCCTAATCTCCACTGACAGTCCAGCATTAGATTCAGACAATGCACTTGGGTCAGGTATTTCTTACTGAACAGTCTTGATAAAAAACAATAGTAGTTTTTTTTTAATTTTAGTGTATTTTCTACTTATTATGCAACATAAAGTGATTTCTTTACAGAACTTTTTTTGAGGATCAAATGAGATCAAGTATATAAAAAGACTAAACTGCAAAACAGTCTATAGACAAATTTTTTTATATCGGCTTTTTCACATCACTGAAAATCTCAGGGTATGAGATTGCAACAGAGGAAAAAAGTAAAATTTAAGAAAAAGAAAATCTACATGAAAGCAGATTACAGGGCAAGAAGGCTGCTGGCCAACATGTGGTCAGAAAGAGCTTCTTCGAGTGTTTGGGCTGGCGCAGTCTGGGTGTCTGCTAAGCATCCCCAGCTACAATGTGGAAACACAGCTTTGACTCTGTGGCCTCCCATCCCACCTGGCTTTCAACAGCCTCTGATCTGCTGCTTCACATAGAAGGAACAGGCTTCACAACAAGTCAGGAAGTCAACTAACATGATAAAGAGCACAGAAGGGATTTTTCAGCTTAGAAAAGTTTCTGTCATGAGACCAAGAAATGATAAAATGCAGTATCAAAAGAAACAGGAACTATGGGCTATCATAGTTCAGAAAGTAAGATTGATGATGCAAGGTCATATTTAAACTCTATTCAATTCCTTGAGGGTGTTTATTCTTATCTTTTATGATTGTTTTCCCTAAAATGTTTTTGGTATATATGCTTAATATTACAGAAAATGCCATTATGCACATGTTCTACTGCAGTATTCATAGGTGGTAAACTATCAGAACTAAATTCAAGATGTGAGATTCTGCTATATCTCAGGTGACTACACGCACTGGAGGCTCAGCATCATGTAACTGGTCTCACCTACACCTACTAAATCCATTTCCTCAAAATCTCAGTCCCACTCTGGATTATTAGCCTTGCTGTCTCACATTGTACTGAAACAGCTTTGTTTGCAGTCACCTGGGACTTTCTAATGCCCCAAAGGTGCTATCCATTCAGTTATCCTTCTCAACAGCACTGCTGACTAGGCTTTCTCTACTGAGATTCTTGGTGAGCCTCTATGACATTATGCCCTCTTTATTTTCTTTCTATTATTCCCCATGCTAATTCCTGTCCTCTTCCTGCCCTCTTAAATGCCAATTTCCACCTAATTCCATTCCCCCATCTTCATATCTTTCTTCACATCTTCTTCCTCAGAAGCCTATCAAGCCGCAGGAATCTCAGGATTGGGATATCTAGGGTTGCCACTTAAATAGACTCCATTTATTTTTATCACTACGCTCCTTGGGACAGCTCTTTCCTTTGAGTGATTCAAAACACTTGCAAGCTAATAAACTCCAAATTCAAATCTCTTCAGTTTGATCTGTCATGAAATTCTGCCTATTAAAATTCTTTAACTTTTTAACTATCCTTTTTTCTCCTTTCCCATTGACACTGCCTTCATTCAGACCCTCTTCATTCCACCTTCATAACTAAAGTGGAATTATAACTAGTTCCCCTGAATTCAGCTTTTAGCCCTTCCAATCACTGCATCACACCACTGCCAGAGCAGTCTTTCTAAATTTCTCATCTGATCACATTGCTTTCAAGTTTAAATTGGCCAGAAAACCCGTCACCCACAGGATGGTACCCACTGGCTTTGGGCATCTCCATGTGGATGTACTACATGGCAGCCCAAAGTTACAAGCAACCTACAAGGCCATTCATAATTCAACTCCTGCCTCCCCCTGCAGTATTATCTTTCTCTCTCCCTCACATGCATGCACTCCAACCAGATCCCGTATATGCCATGCTCTCCCTTGCTTCTGTACCTTTTCACATGCTGTCCACTCTGCCTCTAATGCCCTGTACCTGTTTCTCTGCTTGATTAACCCCTACTTGTTCTAAAACACAGCTCAGGTGACACCTCCTCCAGGAAGCTTTCCCAGCACTCCCTACTCTGAGCTGGGTGTCACCCCGTTGTGCTGCCATTCTACCACAAGCATAGCTCTCACCAGACTGTATTACATCGAGCGTTTACCTGCTCCTCAAGGATAGAGATGGCACTTCTGTGTCTTTGCATCCCAGAACTGAGCTCAGCATCTGATAAACTGTTCATACCAATCACTTGGTAAATAAATGAATGAATTAAACTGTAATTTCATTTGGTGGCCTTCAAATCTATATCCTGAGCCCTGAACTTTCCTTATAATACCATATTTTCAAACAACAGCTGTACATATCTACTTCTGTATACCACTGTCACCTCAAAACTCAAACACCTAAAAATGAATTTGTCATATTTACTTTGAAACAAGCTCCTCTCTGCCATCATTATTTGTATTCCTGGTACCAGCATTCTATCAATCAAGTCTCCTCAAAGCCTTCAAGTCATCCTCGACTCCTTCCTGCCTTCACCTTGCATATAAAGTATTTTTCCATATTCAGTCCACTCATTTTTCTGGATACCTCCACTTCCTTGCCCACCCCCACCATCTCCATCCGCGTTTTTCACATTGAACTCTGAAATGTTCTCCTTGCTGATTTCTCCAGGCTCTTCCCTATCCTGTACACATAACATGCAACTGCCAAATTTTTCCTAAACCATGACCTGCATTTCATCAGGCTGCTTTTCAAAAGTAGTCAGTGGATCCCTACTCTTTAAGGAATAAAGTTAAAACTCTTGAATCTGTGCTTTGCTCCAACTGTATAGTCTGCACTAAAGATGAGCTCCTTGGAACAGAAACTCAGATGTCTGTGTCTACCTCCTGTCCAGCACTTTAACACAGTTAGACCCTCGAGACACATTAGTTAAAGAGACATGCTTGGCTCCAGTCTTCATTGCTTTGGGTCAAATGCCCTCATAAGAGGCATTAGCCTACCTTTCCAAAACCACCACATTCTTTCACACCACAAGCAACTTCAGTTCGAATTGAATGAGTCTTCTCACTGTCTCCAGGAGGGATTCCTTTAGGTGGTTCTTATTGGCTGCTGCATCATGTGTTTGGGAACTCTCCTGCCTCAATACTCTGTAGTCTCCTCTCCATCTATAGAAAGCATATACATCTTTCAAATCTCACTGTCCTGCATAAATACAGCTTCTAAATAAAAACAGAGAGCTTCCAAAATTAGCAGGGAGGTCCCCTTGAGAATACAGTGAGTAACTATCCATGAATGTGCATAAGAAAACTACATGCTGTCTAGGAAATAATCAAGTGAAAGGATTAGAGTTAACAGTGTCCAGAGCTTACACAGGATCAGGAATAGTCCCTGTTCCCACAGCCAGCCTGGAAAACCTCACAGTCCACAATGCATTTGGTAGAGTACATGAAAAGGTCTTGTCTTAGTAGTGAGGAATAATTTGCCCTAGACCAAGCACTGCTCCAGACCCATCTAACAAATAAAAAGAAAGTCCCAAAAGGATCAAACTGTTCCACATAATATAACTGCATCCCAGAATATATGTAAGACTCTTTTCAGAAATAGAAAAATATCTAGCACCTAATAAGCTAAAATTTACAAGGTCTGGCATCCAATCAAAAAGCACCCAGTGTGCAAAGAAAGAGAAAAATATGACTCATAATGAGGAGAAAAATCCATAAATCTAACATAGGTGTTAGAATTAACATACAAAGACATTAGAAATAGAGAGACCTAAATCACACTTGTAGAATAAAAATTACAATGTGTTCAATAAAAAATGCACTGGGTATAGTCTTAGATTATAGATTTCAGAATAAAAGACTGTTGAGCTTGAAGGAATGGTAATAAAAACTATCCAAAATGAAATAGTAATTTAAAAAATCTCTAAAATGAAATGCAGAGAGAAAAAGAGAGCCAAAACAATGAAGAGAGCATCAGATAACTGTGGGACAACTTTAAGCGTATAATTAAAAGGGAAGACATAAAAAAAATTTAAAGAAATACTGGCCATTGTTTTTTCAAATTTGATTAAAAACAATAATCTCACAGATCAAGGAAACTCACAGAACCCCAAGCATAGGAAACATTCAAGAAATCTATACAATTACACATCATCATCAACTTGCTCAAAAATGGTGATAAAGGGAAAATCTTGAATGCAGCCAGAGAAAAATACATGTTATATACAGGGGAACAAAGATAAAGATGAGAACCAATTTCTCATTGACAAAAAAATGTAAAGGAAATCCTTCAGAAAGAAGAGAAATGATACCAGATGAAAAGAGGGATCTACATAAAGAAATAAAGGGCAGAGGAAATTGTAACGCCATGGATAAACATGTTTGTCTCTTATTACTTAATCTCTTTCAAACATAGCTGATTGTTTAAACAAAAATAGTAACAATGGAGTATATGGTTTAGTGTGTGTGTGTGTGTGTGTGTGTGTGTAAAATATATGACAACAACAGCACAAGATCTGTAGGTGGAAAATGGTATTATCATAAGGTGTTTATTACTATACATTCAGTGATACAATGTGGCTTGAAGATAGACATATTATACATTAAATATGTATACTATAAACCCTAGATTGAGAACTAAAATAGTTAATCTAATAAGCCAACAAAAAAGGTAAAATAGAATGATTAAAAAAATTCAGCTAATCCAAAAGAAGACAGATAAAGGAGAAAAAGAAAACAAGGAACAGACAGGACAAAACCGAAAACAAATGGCAAGATGATAGAGTTAAATCTAAATACACAAATATCCACATTACGTGTAAATGGCCTAAGCACCCACATTCATATGCAAAAATTAAAATTGTAATTGAGATGCTTAGTCCATTTACACAATATGAATATGTATATATTTGTTTAGTTCTCCAATTGGTTAAAAAGGCAATCCTCAACTATACAATCCCTATAATAAATATACTTTTCATATAAATGTACAAATAGGTTCAAAGTAAAGGAATTGAAATGATACACTATGTTAACAGTAATCAAAATAAAACTGAGTATCACTCAGTGAGTAAATATCAGACAAAGTAGACCTCAAAGAATTCATATGGAGATTTAATAAACCTAAAAATACCCAAAATAATTTTGAAAAAGGAAAAATTAGGATACTAACACTACCTCATTTCAAGAGTTATTTTATAGCTATAGTAATCAAGACAGTTTGGTATTGATACCAAAGCAGACAAATCAATGAAACAAAATGGGGTCCAGAAATGATCTCTGCACATACAAATACAACTAATTTTTGAAACATGTGCAAAGACAATTCAGTAAGGAAATAATAGACTCTTCAACAAATATTGTCGGAAAAATTGGATATCCATATACAAAAAAAAGAAATTCGATCTATATCCCATACTGTACACAAAATTTACTCAAAATGAATCACAGACCTAAATGAACAGGCTAAAACTAGAAAACTTCTAGAAGAAAACCTTTGTGACCGTTAGTCAAAAAATGCTTAGATACAACTATAACATGATCCATAAAAGAACAAATCAATAAATTGGACTTTATCAAAGTTAAAAACTTCTGTCGTGCAAAAGATTCTTCAAGCCACAAACTATGAGAAATGTTTTAAAGTCCTTTATCTAATAAATGACTTATATTCTGAAAATATAGACCTCTCATAATTTGATCAACAATTCAATTTTAAAATGGGCAAAAGATTTAAACAGACATTTCTCCGAGGATGGTGAATAAGCACATGAAAACATGAAATATGAAAAGCCAAACATCATTACTCATTGGGGAAATGAAAATTAAATTATAATGAGATACCACAATTTTTTTTTTAAATCAAGAAAATATAAGTTAATCCATAGTGACAGAAAGTAGATGACGGAAAGTAGCTTTGGAGGAGGTGCAGGGAAGCACTAGAAGGGGCAAAAGAACACTTTATGAAGTGATGGGTATGTTCATTATCTTGATTGTGATGATGGCTTCATAGGTGTGTACATAGGTCAAAACTCACCAAAAGATACACTTTATATATGGGAAGTTTTTGTATGTCAATTATACCTCAATAAAGTTGTTTCTAAGATCTAAAAAAAAGGGGATTAGAATATTTACTAATCAATATGGCTCCCAGTGACTTCTTATAGACTTGTGGAACGTTCAAGTTGGCTTCAAGTCCCACTGCCTCATTTTACACAGTGAGCTGTATAGAACAGAGAGTAAGAAAGTAACTAAGCTTGGACTCTTCAATTGGACTTATCTTAGTTTGAATTCTGGCTATGCCCCCTTCACCTCTCCAAATCTCAGTTTTTCTAAATTATAACCTGAGGCCAACAGAAGTTGTCTGTTAGGGTAATTGTAAGGAGTAAGTGACAGGATATATGTTAGGTATTTAGCCAACACATAGCATGGACTCAATAACTAATAGCTATTATTAGAAAACTGAAGCCCAGAGAGATAAAGCAACTTACTCAAGGTCACACAGTTATGTCGTAGCAAGAACAACATGCAAGAGCCATGTCACCTGTCTCCTGCTCTTGTGTTTTTTCTCCCATGAGCTGAGGCCCCTCCTGTAGTTTGCAAAATCAAACACACTGCTTAACAGCAAAGGTGAAATCAGGAGGACCACAGTAGAATATAGCACCACGTAAACTCAGCTGCAATACCAAGCAGTAAGAGTTGACATACAAAATTCTGCATAGCCACCAAACTAAGAAGCTGACATGGATTTTATTTCAGGACCATTTATATGTGATACTAAACACAACACAGGCTTCAGCTGGGATTCATGGGAATAGAGGCCAGAAAGGGGACAGTAAAATTCAGGAACTTCTGTATCACTAACACGAGTTCTCGATCTAAAGTCCAAGAACCTTAAAAGATCTCTGCGTAATCTTTTGGGGCCCCCTGAATTCCCTGAAATAGCATGAAGAAAGCATATAGACATTTCCTCCTTCTAGTTTTTATCAAATTCTTAAAGAGGTACATAACCTAACTAAAATATTTAAAACAGCTGTTATAATTAGTAAGCTGATTTTAGAGGCAGAAATAAATTCGAAAAATATCATAACCATGAAGAAGTCATGTTGAAATATAACTTGAAATGATAATTTCGATCTATTTATTTTTATTGAATGTGAAATGAAGTCGATAAACAACACTAAGGCAACCTCAAGGGTTACAAGCAGAGGCAAGGCTCCAATAAAAGTAGGGTCCACTCTTACAATTGATCTGACAGTTTTGGTTGACTTGAGTAAGTAGGCAGGTATTCAATGGACTAAAAATAAAATTGGTTCAGTTTCTACTACGGTAACCCTCATTAAATCTAAGTAAAATCCTTGTTCGTAACATAACCTAGAATTGTTCAAAAGAGCTTTCAATGGCTCTGGAAAACAAGAGTTATTCTTAATCTCAAACATTTCCTAGTCTGCTTTTTAAAACCTATGAGATTTTTCTAAATACTTGTCTGGCACATGTATAAGGTAAATTCTTCATAGGATGAGGAAAGGAAAGCATCCTCTAGAAAGGGGTCATGATTAAAGCTTATTTTCCTCAGACTGGATAGTGAAATCAAAGTTTAAAATGCTTCTACAGAAGGATTGGTGAAAGATTAATAATTAATGTATGGCAGCAATATGGAAATTTTGAAATGTAAATTTGATGAACAAAATGTGGCATATTATGATAAGCAGGAGCAACAAGGGAGAATGGGTGGAGGCGGGTCTTTTGCTCAGAGACATAATAGAAAGAAACACTGATTGGGCTTGCTGGGTTTTCTCTTTTTTACAAAATGCAAACTTCCATTTGGACATAGGAAACTGCTAAAAAGTTACAAGGGAGTGAAAGAAAAGAAAATTTTTTCACCAAAACAGATCAGGTTCACTTGTAGCATTTCCAAGGGTCTTTCTCTTTTAAGAAAAAAAAAAAAGAGAGAGAGAGAAAAGTTTAACACATCACTTTGATATGTGCTCTCCTATCCAGTTCCCCACACTTTCGATTTTCTTTCCATCCCCTTTGGTCTTGTCCTGTTAGACTCTTTTTAAAAATCCACTCCAATTTTCCTCTAATATTTGTGTATAATTTTTTCTCCTTTTAACTAAGCCCCTTTCGAAATGCCTCCCTTTGTGTGTCTCCAGGCGGGGGGCAGGGTCTTTGCTCTCCTCTTTGGCCCAGTTTACAGGGGCTTGGGGCTTCACTGAGAGCTCTCAGGAGAATTGTGCAAATTGTACCCGGGCTTCCGTTGGAAGAGCCACTCATCCTGGCGACCCCGTGCTGTGCCTGAGTGCATCAAGGCCGTGTCAACCCCTTGATGCTGCCTCACGCTGTGATCTTCCTTTGCACTGTGTCATATGTCAGGATGGGTTTTCCCACAATGCATTCTTTAGTTCAGTGTCAGGGAAAAAGAACAAATAATGTGTTCCTGTGGCAGCCAAACATGCTACCTGCAAGGTTGGAGAGCAGAACACATTTTCCTCCTCTGGAGTGAATTCCCCCAGCTGAAGCTACCTTTTCCTTCCCATTATTCTCACTCTCCCCACCCCTTGCCTACCCTAACTTTAGCTCCTCAGCAAAGTGCTTCTGCAAATTGAATCATTCATCCGGCAGAAAAATTTGAAATTTTGCACAATCTTTATGAATTCATTGATCAGTTTATGCTAAAGGCATTTACAGAAGAAATAGCCATATGAGGTGTTCTATATTCTCTGTAAAGAGCTTAGTCATGAAATCATGTGAAAATTTGCAGGGGGGCAGAAGATTCTTCAGGGATGGACCACTGAGAAATCATCTCTAAACACATAAAAATGTCTATTTTAATTACCAATTGATCATCACTTTACCTTTTTAAAAATAATCATGAAGAACACCTCATTGGCACTTAAAATAACCAAATGCCAGTTTTGCAGCCCTTAATGTGTCTTTCTGAGAAAGGAGAGACGTCTTCCCTCTGATTATCGTATTTATTACCTGACTACACAAGATCTCTTTTACATGCTTTATAGGCTGTAGCATATATGGCATTCAGAGGTGTTCATGCAAACTCATACCCACCGGCCTCATAGACAGAAGGTGGGAGACAAGTCCTTAGAGTATCAGAAAGGATCAGTGAAAAAAAAATTCAGACTTTCTCTCATCTCTGGAATATCCACAGCTTACTATAAAGTGTAAAAAGAAAAAAAAGGATCCGATTAGATACAAGTCATCCAGCAGGCAAGAGGCGGCTCCCCTCTCCCCCTGCTATGCAGCATCGGCATCAGCAGGAAATCTGTTAGAAATGCAGAATCTCAGGCTCCTCCCCAGACCTACCAAATCAGAATTTGCATTTTAGATGGATTTTTTAACACATTAAAGTTTGAGAAGCACGCACTGCACTATGGTGCTGAGCAGGTTTCCGAAAAGATTTGGCCTGAACCAGTTACATCCAGATCTTTTGCTCTGAGAGCACATACAACAACCTTACCTTGCTCAAGCATAGACATAAACCACACTTATGAAACTATAAATGGTATTCTCCATATCAATGAAGGAAGAAAGCTAAATAGAAACACTAGGTGCAAACTTCTCTTTTCTATTGATAGAGAAATGCATATGAAGTATATATAATTTTATATATATATTAATGTACATGAAAATGGCTTAGCAACAAAATAGAGGAAGATCCTGGATTGCTATAACACTAAATGGAGAACGGAGAACCCTGATAAAGGTTAAAACAAAACAATTCAAATTTGCAAATTGTGCTGACTGCATAATTCTCAGGGAGTTGGCAATATGATATTCTACATTGAATCATTTAGATACTTACACTGTTCATAAATTGAAAATTGTTATTTTTTCCCTCTAAAATGAGCTGCTGAATATGTGTGAGCCCAGCTGTAAGAAGCCTGCTTTCTCTCTCCTCTCTCTCTCATCACTCATTGTCAAACCATGAATGGTTGATGCTATAGCACGACTCCTTAGTCCAAGGAAAGTATTCTTTAAACTCCTTGGTAGAATTTATCCTCCCTACAGCTCTGTTTCACCTCTGCCCTTATAAATATACATATAGATATTTACAGTTACATTCCAATTTGTAACAAGGTGAATTCTTGGACTTTTTTGTGTGTGCGTGTGTGTGTGTGATAGATATAGATATAGATATAGAGATAGACAGAGAGAGAGAGAGAGAGAGACGGAGTTTCGCTCTTGTTGCCCAGGCTGGAGTGCAATAGCGCAATCTCGGCTTACCACAACCTCCACCTCCCAAGTGATTCTCCTGCCTCAGCCTCCCAAGTAGCTGAGATTACAAGCATGTGCCACCACGCCCGGCTAATTTTGTATTTTTTGTAGAGACCGGGTTTCTCCATGTTGGTCAGGCTGGTCTCGAACTCCCAACCTCAGGTGATCCACCGGCCTCGGCCTCCCAAAGTGCTGGGACATTTTTTATTATAAAATTCATGCTTGCTTATTGATAATTGTGTTTTATCATATGTTTCTAAATGGGAAAACCTCATTTCACTAATGATAAAGCTGAGTTCAAAGAATTCTTTAGAAGTGTTGTGTATAAACAATCATGAAAGAGTATTCCCAACCATAACAAGCCAGGCCCTGCTTTCCTACTTTTTCACAAGCCCGGGTTGAATTTTATTCATTACATTAATTTCTTATCATTTCAGCTTACTCATTTCCCTTTTCTTTTTATTACTACTTATTTTTTATGTTTTTATTAATAGACTTTATTTTAAGAGATTACAGAAAAATTTGAGTAGAATGTACAGAGTTCTCACATAACCCTTCAAACTCCTCCCTTTTAAGTTTCCCCTGTAATTAACATCTTGCAATACATTAGTTGCAATATTGACAAATAATCATTAACTAAATTCAATACTTCACATCAGGGTTTACTTTTTGTATTGTACAATCTATGGGTCTAAACACTCATTTTTCATTGCATCACTGCTATACTCATTTTTGGATTTTCTTTCCACTTAAGAAATGTGCTCCTATTAATCACCACATTAACAGAATTAAGTAACAGCTATTGTTTTTTTCTGGTTTTGTGTCCTTCTCAACTCCAGATAGTAGCCTTTTCTCATAGAATCACCCTTTCCATTAACATTTATTGAGCAGCTATTGCATTCAAAGGAACATGGTGGGTACTGCTAGAGGCTTAGAGACTTATCTGACATGGACTCCTCTTGTGGAACATAGGCTCAATTAGGAGGAATACGACATGTATATAAACAAGACAAGGATCAAGAGAGAGCTCAGGAGAAAAGTCATGGTGAACTGAATGAGACAGAAAAGACAGACTCTTTGTGGGAAAGGCAGCATTTGAGAGCCTGGAAGAACCAATAGAATTTGAAGATGAGTTGATCAAATATAGGGACTGGCTAAAGGAATGCCTCTAGTAAAAACACTGAAGATAGAGAACTTGAGACTTGTAAGAGAGTTGAGTCCACACTGACTGAATTGCAGGAATGACCAAGAAACCTGAAGAGTGGATTATTCATCTCTACGGTGAATACTCTTAGTGTCTTTAAAAAGGTGCTTCTCAAAGTGAGGTAACAGAACATTCCAAGGTTGCTTCTTAGAGCCACGTATCTCATAGCATGGTACTTGGGTCACCTAAACAGAAACATTCACCTGGGATATTTATTTCCAGATCCTACCTTACACTCACCAAATCAGGATCAAGAGGAAAGGGGTGAATATAGAGATCAGGGAACCACATTTTTAACAAACACTCCAGGTGATCCTTATATGCACTTAAGTATGAGAACTGCTGATAATTTCTTAAGACAGCCAGGAAATGAACAAGAACAAAAGGAGATGGAGTTTTGCCCTTGTTCTCCAGGCTGGAGTGCAATGGTGTGATCTCGGCTCACCACAACCTTCGCCTCCCGGGTTCAAAAGATTCTCATGCCTCAGCCTCCCAAGTAGCTGGGATTACAGGCACGTGCCACCATGCCCAGCTAATTTTGTATTTTTAGTAAAGATGGGGTTTCTCCATGTTGATCAGGCTGGTCTCAAACTCCCGACCTCAGGTGATCTGCCTGCCTCAGCCTCCCAAAGTGCTGGGATTACAGCCATGAGCCACCATTCCTGGCCCCACAAGTTTTAAAAATAAGTACAAGACTTCAAAAAAAAAATACCTTTGTGGTAAATATAATTCACTCCTGTCTCTCATTAGGGATATTTGGATGGAATGTATGAAGAGCACCCTACCACAAGCAAACAGGAAACTCTGATATACTGCTAATATATTGAAAAATATACACATTATTTGGCATAAACTCTTCTGTGCATATCTGTATAAACATCATCCTTATCTGCAATGATCAATTTTGGCCTCCTCCACACCTCCCCTGGTTTGATGACAGACCATAACAATGTCACTTGGCTATTCTTGAAAAACAGCTAGTAAATGTTGATGATACTTACTACAGCAATATTTATGTGAGAATCCTAAAATACTTGGGAAAATGTTTTGAAGGTGCAAAGGCTGGCACACTCGTAAATTCTGAGTAATGCTGCAGCTGGGCAGAGATATGAAGTTCAATGGCCTCTGCTTTTCTGCACTGTTTTATTCATTGTTTTCTACACTCGTATGACACCTTCTTAGTTTAACTGGACATGGAGCTTTTCCTAGCTGGTTAGCTATTGAATTGAAGAATTGAAGAATGTCATTGTTTCCTGAGTTCCCTTTGCTTCTTGGGTCATCTTTACCTAGAATGAAGAAATCAATTTGATGGCCAATCAGAATAACCAAACTATGATTCTAGGCCATTTAACTTGGATTCTTGAAGATTACAGTTTAGACTTTTCTGTCCAAATAGAAGTAAAAATAGGGGAAAAATTGGCGTCTTCAAAATCATGTCTATAACACAATACATCTGAACATAATGGTGTTGATAACAAAAATACAAAATTCTGCCTGTGACAGAAATTTTTAAAGCTACTGAATTTACTAAACAATACGGACACAAGAATGGATGTAATTTATTACCAGAAAGACCAGGGAGTTTTATAGGCAAAGGCAGCCAGCCTCTGATTTATAAACAACAGATTACCAATTATCCACAAGGGCAAACAGCTGCTATTTCCCAATTCCAGTTCCCATCTCCCACGAACACCTCAAACATGTGGGTAACAGGCGTGTGGCAGAAGCATTTGGATTGTCCCATTCCCTTTGAATATCTCTCTGTGCTTAGCAGACTACCCAGGGCATAGACGAACTGTATAGGCACTGAGTCAAACTGAATCTGCAAGTTATTACAACATCCTCTATGCTGCTCATCTCAACCTGGGGGATTGGCTTTTCACTACCTTCAATTCCATCACAATAATATTGGTTATACCACCTCCACTTCAAAAATTATTCTCCAGATGGAGATGCAAAGTAGAAGGTGAATGGTTCTATTTTCTCCCAGTTATTATAATATCATTATATCTGCTTAAAGCAAGAGACGTTTCCTTTTGCTTATGCATCTCTCAAATATTTGTAAAAAGGTAACATTTTTTAAGTACATTGTATTGTTTTTGTGTTTTTCACAAGTCCCTGTTCCAGTCTGTAAGATCATGCCACTGTATTATTGGTGGCATGCCCTTCTCTCCATGTTTAGTGCATTACCAGAGCTCATTTGAGGGGACCTGGACAGCTACATCCATCTTGTTGGATATAAGGTCCCTACCCTTCAATCATTTGAAGTCATCAGACTTTCCTTAACAGAACCTCTCATCTTACACAAGTTGCTAAATTTTCACAGTCTTTGGTCAGGGATTCATACCTATATTTTCTCTGAGCTTTAAAAAATCTACTTTACAAAGTCCAAATTTTATCCGATAATGTTCAGTTTTCTAGCCCTTTGTCACGTTAAAACTCTAGGATGAAAAGTAATTTTCCCTACAGTTTCATTAATTTTCAAATTCTTGACTATTCTTTCTTATTAATCAAAATAACAGACCACAGTAATTCTTTCCTGGGGACCTTGGGGACCCATTATATCTTCCTGATATACACACACACATTTCTTTCTCTGTGTGTTATGACATCTCTAGACTTCTCCAAAACAAATTTTTGAGTGGGGCAAATATATGGGGTCAAAGCCATGAAAGTAAAGAGACACCCCAGTTTTCTCAGTAGCTGTAACTTCATAAATAGGACCTAATTTTTGCAAGGCAACTAAAGAACACATCAGATTAGATG
This sequence comes from Homo sapiens, assembly GCF_000001405.40. Classification (NCBI taxonomy): domain Eukaryota; kingdom Metazoa; phylum Chordata; class Mammalia; order Primates; family Hominidae; genus Homo; species Homo sapiens. The sequence goes on from NC_000006.12 coordinate 98,722,466, forward strand.
CTATGCTTTCCCAGAGTGAAACTTCCAGCAAAGGGCCAAATATTTTATTTGGAGTCCCTCATGTCTGCTTTACTTTGATTCTGTTATTGTTGTTACCTGAATTGTAATAGCTTATTTCAAAACCTTCACCTGTTCAGTGAAGCTTCAGATTAATAAGTATATTCGGTAGACAGATAGATGATAGACACATAAATACACATACATATATACACACATATAGATATTATACATACAAACACACATGTGTATACATATATATGTTATTTTTGAAGATGTAGCTTTACACTTTCAGGAATATTTATCTGTTTAGTATAAGCCCTTGTTGATGACACAGACTATCTGAGAGTTCTTTTTAGCTTCTTTGCCTCTTTGCCTGGTCAATCCAAACTCAGCAGTTATATTTAATAGTAATTTGGTATGAGAAAAAGAAGATGCCTCTTAACCCACCCTTGAGTTTAGAGTGGTAAGAGATAAAAAGTTATGATAGCATTCTGGTTTTGAGAGAATCCTATTTATTTCTCTTTTGTGGAAGTGCACTTGAAAAGTAAAACGTGAAACCCTACCCCAGTGTGAGATTAAAAGCAGAGGGAGGTTTTCCTTATAACTACAAATGATCTACACTGAGAGAACAAGTAATGATGAGTTTTTGAAAATGATAAGATTGTAGCAATCCAAAGCACTGCAAAAAATTGGCAAATTGTAAAACGACCACACACCAGAAGGAGCCACAGTGAAGCTCTAATTTTGCAGGCTCCCAGCCTCAGCAAATGGAGGAGACGAAGGCAGCAGAAATGCTTTTCCTCTTTCAGGGGCTGCCAGACCTTCGACCTCATGAGATATAGGTTAGCTGTGTGGTCTTCGTCTGAGAAAGTTAAAGGGTAATGGCCACATGGCACAGGGCAATTGAGATATCTGTAAACTCATTTCTGTCATTGCTTTAGGGATACAAATCCTGTTGGCTTTATTGAATGTGGTAACTGCTGGTATATAATGAACATTAACCAGGTCTGCAGAAGTGACTGCCACCACTGACTAGATGGCTCCCTTTGGAAATAGGTTACAACTTCCAGGGATCAGGGAAAGTGATGCCTGTTTAAGGAATGGGAACTTCATAGGTGGGTAAGACTCTGGAGACTCTAGAAGCTAATAGTCATCCATTGGCAACTAATTCCTTGACATCTACAGACCACAGTCCCCTCATGGTTTAAAGTTCCTTATTCCTTTGGAATGAAACTAATTGCAAATAAAACCCTAATAATTAAACGAGGAAGTACCCAAATGTTATACGTACTTTGCAAATGTATTGAGACCCACATCTAAAAAAAAAAATTTTGAAATGTATTTGAGATTTATGGTCATAGTCATAAAAAAAGAACCATTAAAGATTCTAAAAAACCATGACCTCCTTGTTCAGATTAAATTATCCATTTATCAGTCAGCTGATTAGGCAGTTCACCTTTCCCTGCCCCATCACAAGTGCTATGTACCAGCCCCAAAGACAAAGCTTTCCATGCCTGATGGTGCTAGAGCAATAGATTGTCTCTTGAAAAGTAAATGATCACTATTTCCCCTTTTGCACCATTACCAAATAGCTCTTTTTGTAAAGTCTTCATTGCTAATTATTTTCCAAATGTCAGTATTGCTTACTCTTCCCTTTATTTTGTTCTTAAAGAGAAGATATAAGCAATTAGCTTAACACTTTATATATTAAAAAGTATAAAATGAACTTTATACTGAATTCATGTCTTAATTCTGGTTGTTTTCCCATGGTAACACAGTCTACTTTTCAAAGGTCTCTGGCCTCTTCAGTTTATTTAGCTTTCATTGACTTGTTCATTCAACAAATGTTTCTCCCTCCACCATCTTAATTTTTACTTTACAAAATATCCTGTCCAAGAGAGTCTTGCTATGATTGGTAAATCATAAATGATACTTCTTGTTCTTCCAATTATTCCAATGTAAACATTTCCAAACTGCTTTCATTTCCATTGATTTTCATACATTTTAATCCTTTCACCTTTTGCTCATTCTAAGTAATAGATTTTTCTTCCTTTGTATGCCCATGGTTAAATATTTTCTTTATTTGTTATATGTACCTTTTCTTTGCAAAATAATTATGGCTACAGTGTAATTATGGTGTAATCATTGCATCCATTCTGTTCAATGATCCCTTTACTAAGTGGAATTACATCTCAAGTTAACACTCTTATCAAGTGCTAGTTTTCAAAGAACAAGCTAGGCAGTCTTGCTGAGTTTTCCTCAGCACTTGCCTGTTACAGAACAAAGCATTCCTACAGAATGAATCATTTACAAAAATCTGATAGCAACTCTGTCTGATAGGCAAATGAAAACTCTATATTTTAGTCATGTTGTAGACAAGAAAGAACAGTAAAACTGAACCTATTTTCAAAATATAGAAATTGAGTGACTTTTTAAAGATACATTAAATGGTTCACTTCTTAAGATTCAATTTTTAAAGATGTATTTGAATTGAGTTGAAATATTGACACCTCTTGCTCTTCTAATGACTGCTTTTTTCTTTTCAGATATTTCGCTCTGAAGAAACATCATTAGAAATAAATAAATAAAATTAACATATAATACCTACTTTACCTTTGGTTTTTATTTTTATTTTGAGGATTTATTTTTATTTTGAGTATTATTTTTACATTAAGGTTATCACCTCAAATCCTTTTTTAAAAATAGTCAGCATAAACTAGTCAATAAATAGGATAATGTCTTTATTAGCAATATTTATTTTTAAGCTCTTATGTACTAGGCAACTTGCTATAGGCTTTACATGGATCATCTCCTTTAATCTGCAGACAAAATGATGTTGGTCCTATTATTATCCTCCTTTTACAGATGAGCTAACAGGTTTTTAAAAGGTTAAATGACTTCCCAAAGTCACACAACCATTGTGATTATAGCATCAATAATAAGTGACCTCATTCAAACCCACATGCTGATGAGGTCTGTGAACTTTCAAGTTATATAAGTTAAATTCCTTTTCCAAGGGTCATGATGGGAAAATCAGAATCTCTTACCTTAAAGTCACTGAGACATGGGAAGCTCACATTGTGTGCATACTTCAGTATCCAACACAAAGGGTGCAACATGCCCAGAAGGGCTTTTGAGGGATCAAACCATGGACAAGATAGATGAGAACTTTAAATCCATCTCAGTCTCTATCTATAGTCCATTGATACCACCTGACTGCTGTATTATCATTTTTCATTATAACCAAAAGGTTTTCTAATAATTAGATTACAAATAAAAAAGACTGACCATAATTTTGCAAGCTTCAAACCAACACCATCTTGATTTGCTGAGTGTCAAAAACGAGCCACAAAAATATCATACACATGAATGTGTACGTATCTTTATATAGGTATGTATGTATCATATATTGTATATGTCATATATATAAAGACAAACATAATTTATTAGTTTGCACACCTTTAAAGAACATGAGCTATATGCTGTTATCATGAAATGTGTGTTGGTTTGTCTTTTAGTGTGAATTCCTTCATTCAATATGACCTAAATGTATAATATTTTTGGATAATCCTATGTTTTGTTCAGGGAATCACCACGTATGTCACAGGAATTATCTCTGCTCAAAGAAATCAAAAGCAATAAACATCAAAACCCAGTAAGACTCAATGTAATGTCTTTCTTCAGATTCTGAAGAGGCTACAGGATTTTGCACTGTCTCAGGCTTATAATACTGATTAATATCATCATTTCCTCAATGAATCACAATTATGCCAATTAATAGGAATTTCCAGGTAACAAGATGCTGATAACAGACATTTTGTTATTTACACACACACAGCATCCACAAATAAAGGGGGTAGTTTAAGCTCCAATTCTCCAGCAAAGGCTCAGTAAAATAACTCACATTATTTGTAGCCTTATTGCCCATAAAACTTCCAACAGCTGAATAAATATCTGAGTTCTACCCTGTCTTTGTTTCAATTTACTTGCATACCTGTGAGGCCCTTTCCACTGCCCCAGATAGAAGCCAGGAGCCCAGTTCCCAGTGGTGTTAATAGGAGTTGAGTAATTAATTTCCAGCATGCTGCATGTAAAAGTACCCTTATGTGTCAGGCTCCAAAAGCATAATACAAAATGGAATAAATACCAGTTTTATATGGAATCTGTCATATACAAATTATCCCAAAGAGCTTTACAAACAATGAATTTGACACTGATACTTCAGGGATGGTGTAAACAAATGCAGCAGCCATTGAGTGCTCAGCGATAACTCACACAAAGTCCTCCTTGAAATGTCAGAATGCATATACCTTCACCAGGATTCTTTCCCAAAACATAGTGTCTGCTTATGAGCTTGCTGTCAATCACAGAACTCCACTCACACTTAGTAGAAGGGAAGTGAAAATTCCTTAAAGAACTGATAATAATTTGCACAGGAATTTCCCAAGGGGAAACAGTTTACCAAAGTTAAATCAGTTTACTTGGTGCCAGGTTACTAGACCCATTTCAACAAGAAATGAGATCACTACTGGGTAGGTTTAAATATGACTCTTCATACCTACCCCATCCCCAGTGTCCCCATGTTGCTTCATCCCCACACACACCTAAATACCAGTTTTTGTTTGCTTGCTTTAGTTTTTTTATTTTTTAAAGAAACATCTTTATTGAGATATAACTCACATATCAAAAAATTCACCCATTTAAACCTTTAAAACCCCATTGGTTATTGTTTACAGAGTTGTGCGACCATCACCAAAATCAATTTTACAACATTTTCATAACTCGAAAAACAAACTCATTACCCTTGATATTCATTTCCCAGTCTCTCCCCACCCTATCCATCCTCTCCCCACCATCCCATGGCTCAAGGCAATCACTTAGCTACTTTCTGTCTCTAAATACTTGTCTGTTTTGGACATTTAAAAAGAACAAAATCCTGTCATTTGCAACAACATAGATGAACCTGGAGAATATTAGGTGAAATAAGCCAGCATGGGAAGACAAATACCACATGATCTCACTGATATGTGGAATCGAAAGAAGTTGATCTCATCGAAGTAGAGAGTAGAATGTTGTCTACCAGAGGAGAGGAGAGGAGAGGACAAAGAGATGTTGGTCAAAGAATATATTATTATAGTGAAGAGGAGCATAAAAAATAAATAAATACCAGTTTTGAACAACCAAAGAGTGTTTACTTCAACATTTAACTCACACTCAGCATGTTCCCTGTCCTCAATTTCTTGTTATTCACTCATTTTATGAGTCGTATACATGTCTTCCTCATCAAATTAGTAGTTTCATAAGAAATCATGTGTAATCTTTGCAGCCACCCCCGCCTCACTCCCCTTACCAACAGCATCTCCCCAAGACCCACAGAGCTGTTGACACCTTGATAACAAGTTCTCAATAAAACCTGACTGAATTAATATAGTGAGGTTACTCCAGAGCATATACATCAAAAGGAAGAAAGTTAAATTTTTTATCTTTAGCCTTACAGAATCTATGTCTAAATCGCTACAAAAATGAAGAGTTATTTTAAATGTTAGTGGAAAGAACAATCCTTTCCAACAATCCACTTAGTAACTTCCAGGTATCCCTCATCAAAATTTCTGTGAGTTCCTTTGTGTCCACAGTAAGCTGGTTCTGATGGAATAGCATGAAAAGTAGAATTTCAAATCATGATTGTTGCCTTAGGAAGTTCCTCCAAAGTATTATTAGCAGCAACAGCCATACAGTGTCCGCTTAGAATGAGGGACCAGTACTGACAGGCTTCTTGATATCACTCTTTGCTTGACAGTTTCAAAAAAGTAAAGGAAAAGGACAAATTTTCTTTTCCCTTTGGGTTTTTTTTAGAAATGGTCCTTAGGTCACCTGAGGTCTCAGGCCACCTCACACCAGTGCTGATGTACTTGCAGCATTTTTTAATGTCAGAAATCAATATGGACATAGAGCAGCTGGGTAAATTATTGTCCCAGCTCCTGCCCAACCTCTCCTCTCCATACCTTGCTCTCCTCTGCAAAGGGAGGCTCACTAAGGAGTACCTTCTAAGTGCAAGAGCCTCCTCCTCATCTATTTCCAGAGAGGTTCATCTGGGGTACTGGGCACTGCTTACTCTGCCCATCCGTCCCCTACCTCCACTTCTTTCAAGGCTCCAGAAGCTCAGACCTTAATTTATTTTGCCTTTAAACTACACTATGACCCTATTCTCCACTTCCCTGAGCCAGGTCCTCCGTTCTCTTTTCTGGTGTTCATGGCTGAAAGACCCACAGCCATTATGAAACTCATTTATGGGCCAAAATCTTACTATGCTCCCCTGATTAAGGGACCACATTTTGTCTTCTCCTCTGATGATAAAATACAGTAGAGTAGTCTCTGGAGCTAGATTGCCCAGGTTCAAATACTGTCTGTACTACTCAAGTTGTATGACCTCGAGCAAGGTAACAGTCACAGTGCTTCATCTTTAAGTAGGGATAATAAGAGTACCTACCTCATATTTCTTTTACTTGAATAAATTGGGTTAATATATATAAAGTGCATTTGGCACATAGAAGCACTATATATGTGTCAATTATTTGGTTATTGATATGGTTTGGCTGTGTCCCTGCCCAAATTTCATCTTGAACTGTAGCTCCCATAATCCCCACATGTCATGGGAGGGACCCAGTGGGAGGTAATTGAATCATGAGGCCAGGCTTTTCTCATGCTGTTCTCATGGTAGTGAATAAGTCTAACAAGATCTGATGGTTTTATAAAGGGCAGTTCCCCTGCACATGCTCTCTTGCCTGCCACCATGTAAGACGTGCCTTTGCTCCTCTTTCGCCTTCTGCTATGATTGTGAGGCCTCCCCAGCCATGTGGAACTGTGAGTCAATTAAACCTCTTTCCCTTATAAATTATCCAGTCTCCAGTACGTCTTTATTAGCAGCATGAGAAGGGACTAATACTGTTATTGTCACTGAATTACTTAGACTATGCCAGAAACTGTAACAGGAAAAATCTGAAATCTCAGGGATTTGGCATAATAGAAATTCATGTCTTGTGCTTACAAAGTCCTGCTGGGTATTCTGATCAGTGCAGTGGATTTCTTCCTTGTGGTGATCCAATGACCCAGTACCTTTCTTCTGGTGACTGTCATTCCCTAGGGAATTAAAGTCCACTGTCAGATCTTCTTGTTTGACCAGAAGACCAGGAAAGAGAGCAAGCAATGAGCAAGGAGGATTGGGAAGGCATTGTTTATGGGCCTGTCCTGTCAGGGGCAGACCCCACTCCCTCGCACAGCCCAACAGCCAGTGCAGTCATGGGACCACACTTAACTGCAGGAGAGCTTTTGTCTAGTTGTGTGCTCAGGAGAAAGAAGGCAGGTCAGTTTAGTCTCTGTCACAACCATCTGATGACCCTCAAGGGAAATTGTTTCTGCGCAAACCTCAGGCCTAATTTAAGACTGAAGCAATTTAGACTCTAATTAACTCACTTTAAGTTATCAACTATTTATATTATCTCTTATCAACCATAACCTGTCCTCTCTAATTTCCTTATCATTATCTGCATGGAGCAATAAGGTCTCCAAGGTGGGATGGTTGCAGGACTGAAGAGCTGAGAGGGAGAGACTTAGGTTTCCAGATTGATTATTTCTTTGTCATTGGGAATGGTAGAAAAAAAGGAGTCACTAATCCCAGCCCAGCTCCCTCACTGAGGAGTCCTGACACACTGTCTTCAGCCCTCTTTTGGAGAGTCAAGTGGAACTCAAGCAGCCTCTCTCTGCCAGGCCAGGAACAGAACCATCTCTCTGTGGTCAAGAACCCCTTTCCCTGTCTCCCTCTGGGTCTGGAGCTTCTGCTGACCTGAGGACCCCCTTTTTATCTTGAGATAAAAATCACTGTATAAAAGAGATCCTCTGCCAAATTTCCACTTCTTTTTGAAGGTCAATGGTTTTATGCTCAAAAATCAAGGACACAATTTTCATATCCCTGCCCCTAAATTCAGAAATGACTTTGTGCATTAAGTATTTATTTTTTCCATCACCAAGCCCATCCTTTCATCTCTCAATGAGATTAGAGAAGTTTTCATTGTTCTTTTCTTCCACTTTACTGCATAAATTTGAATGTAATTCTGTCCAAACTTTCTTGTTACCTTGATGTTACCTTACATACATGTAAATTTGATAATAAATTGTTCTATAATAAAACATTTTTTAAAAGAATTTAAGATTTCTAAATTTCAATCCAAGGCTTGGTCCGATGCCTGCCATTGGTGAAATGTTTCTGTTGCCCAAAATCTCAAATCATTAGAGACCCACGAGGCTTGGCTTCGATATTACATAAGTTATTGGCTTAGTTAGACTTTCTCCTTGTGGCTGCTTTCTTCAAGCAATATAATGTAGGAGTTAAGAGTGCAGTCTTGGAACCAGACTGCTTAGGTCCCTATTTAGGTTCTGTCAATTGTATGACCTTTGGCCAGGTTACTTAGTGTTCACATGCCTCTGTTTTTATCATATATAATTGGAATAGCAATAATATCTATCTTGTGAGGTTGTCGTAAACATTAAGTGAAGTAATACACATACAGTGCATACAACAGGGTATGGCACAAAGTATGTATTCACCATTATAATTGCAAGCTAGACATAGTTCCCCTAAAACAAAAATTGCCAACCTTTAAGCTATGAATGGATATGCTGGGGTTATAGGTCTCCTCAGTCTTCAGAGAGAATGGGCAAGACCTTCATCGTCTCCTGCTATGAGCAGCCTCAGTACTTCACCTCAAAGGGCTATATACAAATATCATTTTTTATGTGCCATGATGTGACAAAGCAAGAAAACACTGCCATATAAATTTCTAAAGAGAAATCATGATCCAAAGAGGAGCTCTTATTCTACTGAAGTTGAAAGAGGAAAAGCAAGAATATACTCAACCCAATTTTCTACCACATTAAGGCCATCAACTTCTGACTGAGGTTTCTGAGAAATCTTTTACAGAGAAACATATTGCACTAGAAGACAGAAGACCAGAGGATGCCAGATTTCTAAGCACAGGAATGAAAATTTCTACAAGGACCCTTAACTAGGAATTCTGGACAGTGCCTGACAAAGGAAAACTTTTCTATTCCCAGGACCCCAGAATTCCCCCAAGCATGGTTGTGATTCCCATAGGAACACCCAGTTCTCACTCTACTATGTATGCTTGGGGAAGTCTGACTCTCCTAATCTTGGAATCTGTGTTCTAAGTGGCATCTCTATGATCACACTGGGAGTTATGTCCTCTGAGTCCCCAGCCTTGTCTGGTTCCCAAAACCATTCATGGAGAAGACAAATTCAGGCAGTGTCTCTCTAGCCACACATATGACAACATCAAAAATCAAAACGTATGTACACAAACTGTGTCTATACTTGTGGCTTTTGGAGACAGTAATGTTAAAACTTCTACAACAAAATCAGAAATTTTACCAGACACCCAGAAGTCACTCCAGCATTGGTACAAAGCTAAATTCTGACTTCTTTTAGGTCGCCTTAAATTAGCCCTCCTTCAAGTCATCCCAGGACAAAATAAGTGATTAATATGGCACTTGTCTCAAGTCCACTATGCAAAAACATATATAGCTTGAAACAACAATCATAACACTTTGTTTTATTTAAAACTATCCAATGTTAATGACGGTTTCACATATTTGACCCTAAAAAAAAATTATTCCATTTTACTTTTTTCATTCTAAGGTCTCTCCCAGTGTTAGGCCCTCCTAATCATAATAGGGCTTAATTTGGTGGGGGCAATGTTGACCCTTGCTGGAGTCCAAACACCAAAAAGGATTTGTTCTCATATTATACACAACCAGATATGATAATTTAAAAAGCTAGTATTTCCTGAACTCTTAATGTATGCCAAGAAAATGCCTCCAATGATTCTCGCATTTCCTCACTGAGATGAAAACAAGGTGTCCTTTGAAAGACAAAGGTATTCACATTTTCACAATTTAGCTCCTTGAAACTTCCTTGAAATGCCTTACTATCCTAGAGACTAGGAAGTAAGTCCTAATGGAGTGACAATGATACATCACTAATGCAAAGACCTCTAGTGGTCTCTTATAAACTTGTTTGATTCTCTTTAAGGACTGTGAAATAAAAAAAATCAAGTGATTTTGCTAAAAAAAAAAAAAAGCAACAACACTTGGAGAACACAATAAGGGACATTCTATAATGATAAAACAATCAGTCTACCAGAAAATATCACAATCCTAAATATATATGCAACAAATAAAAAAAAAGAAATGCCTTACTAATCTTTGAATCCCTGATAACACATAGTAGGCACAGGTGTACCTGGGAGACACGGCAGGCTCAGTTCCAGACCACTGCAATATAGCAAATAACAACAACAAAGCAAGTCATACCATTTTCTTGGTCACCTAAGGCATATAAAAGATATGTTTCCACTATATTGTAGTCTATTGAGTGTGCAATAGTATTATGTCTAAAAACAATATGTACCTTAATTTAAAACTACTTTACTACAGCCAGGTATGATGGTACACGCCTGTAGTACCAGCTACTTGGGAGGCTGAAGGGGGAGGATCACTTCAGCTCAGGAGTTCAAGACTGTGGTGAGCTGTGATCATGGTGCAGCACTCCAACCTGGGCAACACAGTGAGACCTTGTCTCTAAAAAAACATTTTTTTAACTATAATGCTTAAAATGCTAATGGTCACTGGAAGTTTGCTGCATTGAGTGACTCTTCCTTCCAGGACAGATTTCTCTCTAGCATACAATGCTGTTTGGTAGCATTTTACCCACAGTAGAACTTTTCTCAAAAATGGAATCAATCCTCCCAGACCCTGCCACTGCTTTATCATCTACATTTATATAATATTTCCAATCCTTTGTTTTCATCTCAACAATGTTCACAGCATCTTCACAGGAGATGACTCCATCTCAAGAAATCTCCTTTTTTTTGCCCATTCATAAGAAGCAACTGCTCATCTGTTCAAGTTTCATCATGAGATTGTAGCAATTAAGTCATATCTTGAGGCTCCACTTCTACTTCTAGTTCCTCTTGCTATTTCTACCACATCTACAGTTGTTTTCTCCACTAAATTTTTGATTTCTTCGAAGTCATCTATGACGGCTGGAATCAACTTCTACCAAACTCCTGTTAATGTTGATACTTTGACCTCTTCCCATGAATCACGAATGTTCTTAATGCTATCTAGAACAGTGAATCCTTTCCAGAAGGTTTTCAACTTACATTGCTCAGATCCATCAGAAGAATCACTATTTATGGCAATTATAGTCTTATGAAATGTATTTCTTAAATAATAAGACCTGAAATTCAACACTACTCCTTGATCCATGAGCTACAAAATGGATATTGTGTTAGCAGGAATGAGAACGTTAATCTCCTGGCAAATCTCCATCAGAGCTCTTGGTTGACCAGGTGCATTGTTAATGAGTGCAATATTATGAAAAGAATTTTTATTTCTGAGCAGTAGTTCTCAATAGTGAGCTTAAAATTTCCATCAAACCATGCTGTAAACAGATGTGCTATCATCCAGGCTTTGTTGTTTCGGTTACAGAGTACATGAAGTAAGCTCATGCTGTTGGAAAAATGACACCAATAGACTTGTTCAACATAGGTTTGCTACAAACCTTCAATTTGTAAAAAACAAACAAAAAAATGCAGTAGAAAATAAAGTGCAGTAAAACAAGGCATGCCTATATTGAATAAGATTTTGATAAATTAAATATTTAAATTTTTTCTTTAATCATTAGTATATGCTCTGAGGTCTTGGAAAACTAAAACGCATTGATATTTCGCACTTCAGAGTTGATGAGAATGACAACCAATACATATATAGCTTCAAATAATAGGGTGTCAGTTTATACACAAATAAAACCATTTCTTCTCCATTATGTTAATTCCAATTTAATGCCAATAACTCATATAGTTCATTAGTTCAAAAGTTTTAAGATGTATAAAAATGCATTGTAAATTTCATCTGTCAATTTTTATACAGAATACAATAATTTTGCATTCATATTGGGATGAATGATTTACTCAAAGCTGCTGTATTTAATCACATAATCAGAAAAGTGAATGTACTTTACCAGTTTATCATCTAGTACTTTTACATTAGAATATTCAATCAGATCCACCTTAAAAATGTATCTAATACTTTTTGTTTTTAACCTTTGTAGTTCCAAGGAAATATGTTTTAAATTATCATTTTAATAACTTAATGGGTTTGATAATTTGTGTCCGAGTGATGTTTAGTTGCCAATTTCACACAAGCATGCTTAATGTTCAGTAATGCTGTGGTTACCATGGGCAAATCAGAGAGATTTAATTTACCTACTTTAACTTATCTCTTGGTGTTTTAAATTCTTGTTTATATTTTGCAAGTCACTCCTTAAAGTCTCTTAAAAAGTCTCTTAAAGTCTCTTTTGTGCATAATCTTTTGCACACAATCATTCTAATATGTTTAGAATTTACACACTACTGTTGTTTGAATGGATATAATGGTATCACCAGATAATGACTGAAGGCAAAATTAATTTCATCATTATTTGCAATGGAGTATTTACCATCATTTGCAGATTTTTATGGATTCAGTGAAAATGTTTATATTGCTATTTTTTGTAGGTCAGAAACAATCTAATGTTAGAATTTTCATATGATTTGATCTAATTTACAAGCACACACTCTAAAACTACAGCAGCTAAATTTTAAAATTCAATAAACATGTTTTCTGAGAGGTTGCATTATATAGCAGAAAGAGTATAAATTGAGTTAATCACAGATGGTTTGGATCCTGGTTCTGCCTACATACTACTCTGTGACCTTGCAAAAATTCTTAATTACTCTGAGCCATTAATTTTCTTGCCTATCAAGCAGCAATCCCTACCTGGAAGGTTATCATAAGGATTAAATAAGAAAACACATATAAAGCAAGCACAGTGCCTGGCACTGAGAACTCATTCAACAAATATTTGGTCTTTTTCTTTCCTCCTCTTCCTAAATGGAAATTGAATTGGCTCTATCAACTACAGTCAGAAGGACAATTGATAAATTGATCAAATAAGCACTACTAATTTGCTGTATGAATCAGGGGTGAGTGTGGGTGTATGTGTGTGTGTGTGGTAAGATGAGCTACATATCACACTATAACTTGACTTGCCTTTCTGGCAAGAGCTGCTCTTATTAAATGCCTCCCATTTATTTTTATCTCAAGCATACATTCAGTGAAATTTTCATTTTTTCTTACAAAAAGACTTTTATGAATTATTAATCATTTAGCAAATTCATTAAATCATGTCAGGGTTAGTAACCCTGTGCTTTTAAAATATTTCAGCTACCTGAATTTTACTGCTATGACACTGACTATTAAGAAAAACTGAGATTTTTTTTTTCCTTTCTGAATGATTTCTTTATTGTTCACTTTGGGAAACTAATGGGCAGTGAGTTTCAGTCCTTTCTAAACTGGAATTTTCCTTTAAGACATCCACTAAGAATGTGTATCACATCTGCAGTGATTTGAAAATCTATGACTCAAAAAAATATTTTAAATTATTTCTACTTTTCCAAAATGGCTTTCAAAGGACGAACAATGGAAAGAGTAGCAGTTTTTAATATACCAGTGTTCACAAGGCCAAATGCTTCGTTTGTAGCTTTGTGTTCTTTGTTTAAAAAAAAATCTGTCCAGTATCATTTCAGAGTTTTACTGAAATATTATCAAGTTTTTAGTGTTGACTTCAGTGCTTTATATAGTCTCAGTTTTATTCTTTGATCTCCTGCTTTAGTCCTCCAGAGTCAAAGTGGAGGTCATGACTAAACCCTCCTCAATTTCTACCTTTGAAAAGATGGGAAGCTAGAGGCAGTTAAAACCTAAAAGAAAAAAAAAATTCAAAGCACTTATACCTTAGTTGATCAAGTTTTAAATTCAAGTTACTATATGAAAAGGGAATTATTCTATTATAGACATTATATTTAAACTATCTGGGGTTTATATTTCTTCTTTATGACAAAGATTAGAGTGTTACTTCATTTATCCCATGATGTGTTCCAGAGCAGAAGTTGAGGTGATCTTTATATAAAATATAGAACTATGCTACGTCTCTGCCAAAAAATTGTTATTGACTCCTATTGCACCTACATAAAACCTAAATTCCTTTCTGTGTATTAGCTGGTAGCTATTTGTCTGCCCAATACCCAAATTCCTTTCCTGTGTGGAGGGATATCCCCACTGTGTGAGCCTTCCAAGCATTCCTTTTCCACCAACTGGCAGCTTATGCACACACCCATGACCTAAGCATAGCCAGTTAGGCTGCTGCAGGTGGAATTCTGAATCTTGAGAGAAAGCCATAAGTATGAGATTCTTCCTTGTTAACATCAATTAGAAGGATTAACTATCCAGTGAAGACACAAACACTAGCAGTACCTTGAAGACATTGTAACTCTTTTTACCCTTTCTTGGTTACTGTTCATTTGGCAAACTTCTTTCTCCCTATTTCCCATCAATTATGGCTGCAATTCATTACCTTATAATAAATTCCTTTCTTCTTAAGATAGCCATCACTGCTACCTTAATCTGTTTTGTGCTGCTATAGAAAAATGCCTTTCTGGATAATTTATAAAAAACAGAAATTTATTTCTCACAGTTCTGGAGGCTGGGAAGTACAAGATCAAGGCACTGGTATCTGGCATGGGCCTTCTTGCTGCATCCTCACATGGCATAAGTTGGAAAGGCAAGAGAGAGTGATTTATCTTCTCCAAGCCCTTCTTATAGTAGCGTTAATCCACTCGTGAGGGTTGAGCCCTCATGACCTAACATCTCCCAAAAGACCCCACCTCCCAGAACTGTTGCATTAGGGATTAAGTTTCCAACACACAAATTCTGGGGGACAGATTCAGACAATAGCAACTGCCTTCTACTCTTTGCAGCCAAGAACCTGAGCAGTGCATAGCCTATAAACTCTCATTTTTACCAAATTCCCTACCAGGTTGGCAACATTCAGGTTTACTGAATGTTTCGGTGCCTGAAACATTTGAATATTTTTCCTTTCTTTGCACATTCAGTTCCCTCTGCTAAGAGCTCTTTACTTTCTTTACATATGTGGCTAGCTCCTTTTCTTCATTTGAGTCTTAGTTCAAATGTCACCAATTCAAGCAGACCATCCCAAGTGGCAGAGATAATCCTTTGGCCATGTTGCTTCCCTCTCTTCTCTTCTTCCTACTTCCTTAGCATGCATATTAGTCCATTACCTGGCAATTCTTAATTGCTAGGGAGCACAGAAAAAATATACCACATACTCTTTAGATCATAAACAAATAAAAGGCTAAAATTTTATACTACTACCATTATCATTTAAGCTTAACATATATTGCAAGCAAAGAACATACATGGCTTTGAACATGAAGTTTAACTGTTACAAAGGTGTAAATATTACACTTTGTATAAGTTTTCTTACATAAGTTAGCAGGAATAATCCTCAAGCCATAAAATAAATTATCTGAAGAATCGGAGTCAGGCTTGAGCAAAAGGGGAATGGAAACAGAGATATTTGAAATTCTAAAATTCAGAATGTACAATTTAATCTGAATGTTATAAACTTTATGCTAAATGACATTTTCTTGATATCTATTTTAATGTCAATAAAACAAAAGACTGATGTCTCAAAAATCTTTATCTTCCCTGTATAAGTAAGCGAAGAAGACTTCTGCTGGTTTTTGTTAGAGCAATAGTATTACAAAATTCTTACATTTTCCCTCTACTTGGGGACATTAAAATGAATATTTTCAGACCATAAATTGGATATCCTGAGACTTGGGGGACACTGAATTAATCTGTGCTGAAGAAGCAAGTAAAGATGACAGCAGAGATTGAAAGATCCTCTTGGCTTCCTTAAGACCCCTGTGTGGTAGATATATATCATAAATATGATATGTATATTATATACGTACTGTGGGACTTCAGCATAGAGCCTTCTGAGAAAGGCACAATAGCAATAGGCAATAGGCATGCTAAAGAGAATGATACTTTGGGCACAGTGCCTATTTTTGGAATAGAAAATTCTTATTTTTTATTCCGTGGTGCAGCAAGAAGAGTGCCTCGGTACTTTGTCAATTCCACTTCACATTATTATGCTCTTCACCCCCTTCATTAAAGCACTGGTATGCAACTGATCATTCCTAATAATAGGCTCTCCACTATTAGAAGTGGGCCTTTTTCATTTTTCACCAAATTATGAAATAGCTTCCCATTATAACTTATGTTCTGTATACTCCAGCCAAGACTTTTCTCTCATCTTAAAATGCTCTGCTTTAAATGGGCCTCTAATGTATAATTTTTTTGTTTGAGCATTTCATTTTCTTTTTTGATTTATGTTTCTTTATAGCTGGTTAGACAGCTCTTTGTGATCTTTTGATGAAAGATTCTACATAAATAAAATTGACTGAGAAGAAGGACCTTGATGGTAGCAGTAGAGAATGCCCTCTGCACTCCACAAACTTAAGATCAAAATTCAAATCTGAAACAAAAATTCAGAGAAGATTCTAGCTCTCCCTGTCTCTAACTTTTATTTTAAAAATTCAGATTAAAGTTGCCAATTTTATCCTATGCCGAATTTAAGCTGTTGTATACTGATTGAAGGAGTAGCTTTGGATTTTTCCACCAAAATGTACTGAGCTGTGAAGGCTAGAGTAAGTAAATAATGGTTATGCTGACTGAATTCAATGCCACTTAGCCATTAAACTTTCAATCTGAAAAGCAACAAATATTTGGTATTTAGAACAGACAATGCTAGTCTTCTGCAAACAATAATTATCTGAAAACATTTAGGTCTTTAGGTTATTTCTAAAATATTTCCTATAAATTTTTTTGGTATTTCCCTATTTATATAGCTTACATTTATTTAATCCCATGTTATGAACTAGTTTTAATTGTTAATGAATCACTGATGCCACCAAGAAAATATCTTCTCCTCACTATACTGTCATATAATCAAATACAGGTAGTTAGAAGCCTTTTAACTCATTTACATACTAACAGTAGCAAAAATATATTGAGCATACACAATGTGTTGGGCACTGTGCTAAGTAGTTTAACGTCATTGTCTCATTTCCATCAGCCAATAAGCTGTGACATAGGTATCATCACATACCTATATGGTGATCCAGCTCAAAGCAAAATCAACTAGGTTGGAAGTTGAACTGGGAAATGTCATGACTGAAATTTGGGATATTTTGAATGTAAAGTCTAGGCACGTCACCCAAGATGTTCAGTAGAGAGTTGGAAATATAGATCACGGCTGGACGCAGTGGCTCATGCCTGCAGTCCCAACAGTGCTTGGAAGGCTGAGACAGGAGGATTGCTTGAGAACAAGAGTTCAAGATCAGGCTGGGCAATATAGCGAGACCATGTATCTATCCAAAAAAATTTTTTTTAATTAGCCAGGGCATGGTGGAACACACCTATGGTCCTAGCTGCTCAGGAGGCTGAGGTGGGAGGATTGTTGGAGCCCAGGAGTTTAAGGCTATCATAAGCTATTGCACCATTGCAGTCCAGCCTGGGTGACAGAACAAGACCATAAAACCAGGAGTTGTCTATTCCCAGAGCATTAGCAGAGATAAGAGCAAATAGCCATTAAGAGCCCTAGGAAATGTATACAGTTGGAAATTGGAAAGAAAGGTTACAGGATAGTTTAGAAAAGGAAGATAATCAAGAAAATATATGATATCTCTCACAAACAAGGTGTGTGCATCCACCATGCACCAGGTGCTATATCACCAATTGGTATTTGAAAGGAAGCAGAGAATTATAAATAGATGAATATCTGGTTAAACAACAAAGGGGACATCCTGGGAAATTGTGGAGTGGGAAATAAAAATATTGACAAGTAGTAACCTGAATCTAGGACAGACCCAGTCACTACAACTCTCTATTCTGCTCAATTAAAGCTCTTCTAGTTCAGGATTAAGAGTGAAGAACAGAAGCTAAGGTGAGTCAAAGCCTAAAGGGTAAAGCCCTGAACCAATGGAAAGACTATGGAGAAGCATTGACTGTGGGTTGTGTCCAAGAGAAAGGGATTTAGCCCCAAGGAGCATCCTATAGTGCCAAGTGAAACTGGATTCACCTGTTTTATATTTCTTGTATTCCTGAATTTCTAGGCTTAGATTCGGCTGCCACACTGAAGTTATCTTAGCAGAGGTGAATCATGACCTTGAAATCTGAAGGTCCAGGTTGGATATGTGACTTAGTAGCTGATGTCAAGTAGCAAAATACAATGTAACATGATGGAGAGAAAGAAACTGCAAGTCTGAAGAATCCAAGGAGTGATTAATAAGAGGGGCCACGTAGCTAAGGACAAGCCGCAAATGAAGCTAAGGGCAACAGCAGAAAATATGTGGGTAGGGAGAGAAAACGATTTTTTTTAAAAAAAAAGGTGCAGACATCAATGACTGGAATAAACTCCTCCAGGTGAGAGAGTTGGAGGGTGGAGTCAGCAAGAAATGAAGCAAGAGGTCATGAACTTTGATATGGTTTTTCTGTGTCCCCACCCAAATCTCATCTAGTTCCCATAATTCCCACATGTCATAGGAGAGACCTGGTGGAAGGTAATTGAATAATGGAGGTGGTTACCCCCATGCTGCTATTCTCATGATAGTGAGTGAGTTTTCACAAGATCTGATGGTTTTATAAGGGGCTTTTCCCCTGCTTGCTCTGCACTTCTTGATGCCACCATGTGAAGAAGGACGTGTTTGCTTCTGCTTCCTCCATGATTGTAAGTTTCCTGAGGCCTCCCAAGCCATGCAGAACTGCGAGTCAATTAAACTTCTTTCCTTTATAAATTACCTAATCTTGGGTATGTCTTTATGAGCAGCATGAGAATGGAGTAATACAAATAAGGAGAAAGGCAGAAACAATGTCAGATAAAATGGCCCTAAGGATCAAGGCCACCAGTACCAACTACAACCACTAGAATACGTGAGTAGTAATGTGATCTAAGGCAGGCAGACTAAATAGGCAGGAAGCAAAAGGGAGAGTAGAAACAGACAGTGGTGTAAAGGCAGGAAGAGTGTAAATGTGTATGACAGGCCATAGGGTGAGAAGTCTGGGTCTGGGACAGGGAGGAACAAAATCGAAAATGATGTTAGAAAGTAAGCCCTGGGAGAAGAAAAAAAAAATGTTTATAAATAAATTGGAGAGACAAAATAGGACATACTGGGTTCATGGAGGAGGGGTACAAAGGATGATACATAAACTTAGAAAATATATGTTAAGCTAAGAAAAGATATATTAGCCCCTGTAATCCCCAAAGTTGAGACAAGAAGTTAAGACAGGATATTGGCTTTCCAGGAGGCGACAGCATAGGAGAAAATGTGGACTGGCCAGCAAGTCAGTGACACTGTTCATCATAGATTGGAAAAGTGCTGTGGTAGCCAGAGGAAGAAAGAAGTTTACACACATGAACATATGCATGCATGCATACACACATGCACACACCCTCATAAACACTAATCTAAGCCAGATCCCATTTCCCTTATACATAGAAACACTAATATCAGAAGCTTAGTCAATTATTCATGAAATGTAGCTCTTTGAATTTACTTTTATTCACTTGATCAGATAGTTGTAAGTAACTAGTTTTAAGTAACAACTATCTGATCAAGTGAATAAAAGTAAATTCAAAGAGCTACTTTTGAATAAATTCAGATTTATTTATAATAAATTTACTTGTATTCATTTGATCAGATGATGTTAAGTTTTGCTTTTGTGAAAAGTATGCAACTATGCTTAACATTAAACTTGACATTAAACATTTAAACTTCCCAACAAACTGACATAATAGTTTAAAAATCTGGTTTGTCAATATGTTCCAACCTTAGCTGTGTCTTCCAGTCATGGTTCTTCCCATGCGATGTCAAGGGTCTACTCAAGAAAATGGGAATGAGGCAATAAAATATACCTTCACCTGGACAATTCCAGGACAACTCTTGGAGGAATTGCAATAAGAAATAGCACTGCGAGCAAGACATTAGGATTTAGAAATGAGGTGGGGGAAATGGGAAAATGTTGGTCAAAGGACATAAAGTTTTAGTTATGTAGGATGAATAAGTTCTGTAGATCTAATGTACAGAATGGGGACTATAGTTGGTAATACTGTATTGTATACTTGAAATTTGCTAAGGGAGTTGATCTGAAGTATTCACACCACACACAAAACAAAATGGTAACTGTGTGAAGAGATGGATATATTAATTAGCTTGACTGTAGTATTTTGTCACTAAGAGTGTCAAAATATCATATAATTTCCAAAATTAGGAAAGTCAACATTTATACAAATTCACTGGAAGAAGACCAAAAATTGTAAAACTTTTAAATACTAGTAATGGAAAAAAGATATTATACACATAAATTAAGGTTGTAGAACTATGAATGTTCACTGATAAGAGGTTTTCTGTACACTGTAAAAGTACTAAGTAACAAATACATTACTTCTCATCTTCTTTTTAGTACTGATAGTCTTAAAACCATTTTTGTTTTTCTTTAGTCTTTTAGTTATCAGTGTTATGATAAAAGTGGAAATTTTAAATGTATCATTGGATAATAAACTAATATTGGCAATAAACATATTAAAGAAAACTTCTTTTAAATTAAAGACATACTAAAATTCAAAATTGTGTTTTCAATGAAGACTTAGGGTAATAAGCCCATTTTAGAGGTGGTATAGTAATCTGAGACCATTGGAAAAATATGTATGTTTTATATTTGGAATGAAATGTTCTATATGAATACATTAAAGTAAAACAGTTATAATTTTTGCCTTGTTCTTACATGCCTAAACCATTATAATGCAGAATTATTTCAAGGTAGATTATCATTTTATGAATATTATAAAGTAATTCTAGTAAAAGTAGTATTCGTGTCAGTATTAAGATAGGAAAATCAATGCTACGGCAACAAACAACCTCAAAATCTCAGTGACTTAACACTGTAAGCTTTACTTCACATTCATAGCCCATGTCCATTGCATTTCAACAGCAGTGTCTGCTCTTTGGCCACTCAGACTGACAATGGCGGAACCATACCAGGTGTAAAGTACCTCCTTCCTGGTCATTGGCAAAGAAAGTGGAAGATAGAGAGAAAGTAACTTACTAGCAATTAAATGCTTCAACCCAGTGGAAATACTAGTCACATAAGAACTAGTCACATAGGAAGTAAAGAACTGGGAAGTGACTTTCTCCTTGTTTCCAAGAGAGAATGAGTTAATTTCCATTTTTATTCCACCATGGTCTGAGAAGATACTTGATATATTTACAATTCTCACTTTTTTGTTCCAACATCCATAGACATACTTCGACTCCCAACTTTGGAAGAAAACAATATTAATACTCTCTTTCCCTTTAGCTTTCCTTCACCCTCCACTCCTTCTACCTTTGCTGGTAATACTTACATTCTGATACCATAATTAGGTCTTGTGGATTGTCTGTACATTGGAAGTTGGAAATTTGACTATGTAAATATTGCTCATTGGAAAGAACAAGTAGTAAACTATAATTATATTTGGTTTCATTGACGGCTATTTCTTTCTTGGAATTTCTCACTGTTTTCCTTTCTAGCAACTATTAGTCTGTGTCATTATCTTCATTTTTCTAATTCTCCATCTAGTTGTGTATTATATTCATTTTCCCTTTATCCAGTAATCTCCTTCCCAAGATTGTTGCTCTTTCATTTCTAACCTAGACTGATTGCTCACCAGGCATGCCATTTTGCTCTCATCTTAAGACTCCCCTTCACAACTTTCCTACGTTGGTTCTATTATTTCCTGAATCCTATGATTTCTTGTTCTTGGTTACCCCCTGATTTTTTTAGAGTACATTTTCAAGTATCTTCCTAATAAAGTGGTTTTGGGAGGTTCCATATTTACTCTGCTCTTCAGGATAAATACAGCACCTTTACCTGCATATGATATCAGTAACCCAGGAAGCTGTCCATACTCAGAACTCAGAACTCTCAGTGGGCCCCAGCCACCTTCTGACTGTTAGGATCTACATTCTGGGCCTGAGGACTCATTTTCCTAGAATATAGAAAGCCGTGCTGCCCACAAAGAGAAATCTAGAAGTATACGAAAATACTGATGGGTTTGGATTTAGTTTGTTCTTGTTTCTCTAGTTTCTTGAGGCACGACCTTAGGTTGTCTATTAGTGTTCTTTCAGACTTTTTGCTGTAGATATTGAATGCTATGAACTTTCCTCTTAGCACTGCTTTTGCTGTAACCCAGAGGTTTTGATAAGTTGTGCCACTATTAACATTCAGTTCAAAGAATTTTTTAATTTCCATCTTGACTTCATCATTAACCAGAAGATCATTCAAGAGCAGATTATTTAATGTTCATGTATCGCATAGTTTTGAGGGTTCCTTTTGGAGTTAATTTCCATTTTTATTCCACCATGGCCTGAGATGATACTTGATATGATTTTGATTTTCTTAAATTTATTGAGACTTGTTTTGTAGCGTATCATATGGTCTATTCTACCTTGGAGAATGTTCCAATCCTAAAATTCATATGAGAGCAAGAAAAGCCCACATAGCCAAAGCAATACTAAGCAAAAGAATACGTCTGGAGGCATCATATTACTCGACTTTGAATTATACCACAAGGCTATAGTTGCCAAAGCAGCATGGTACTGGTATAAAAATAGGCAGGTAAACCAATAGAACAGAATAGAGAACCCATAAATAAAACCGAATATTTACAGCTAACTAATCTTCGACAAAGCATGCAAAAACATAAACTGGGGAAAGAATACTCTATTCAATAAATTGTGCTGGGATAACTGGCAAGCCATATGTAGAAGAATGAAACTGGATTCTTATCCCTCACCTTACACAAAAATTAACTCAAGATGGATCAAAAACTTAATCTGAATTTGTATGGCCTGAAACCATAAAAAATCTAGAACATAACATCAGAAAAACTCTTCTAGACATTGGCTTAGGCAAAGAATTCATAACAAAGAATTCATAACCAAGAACCCAAAAGCAAATGCAACAAAATCAAAAATAAATAAATGAGACCTCATTAAACTAAAAAGCTTCTGCACAGAAAAAGAAATAATCAGCAGAGTAAACAGACAACCCACAGAGTAGGAGAAAATATTCATAAACCATGCATCCCACAAATGACGAATAACCAGAATCTACAAGGAACTCAAATTAGCAAGAGAAAAGCAAATAATCCCATCAAAATGAGGGCAAAGAACATGAATAGGTAATTCTCAAAAGAAGATATACAAACAGCCAACAAACATACAAAAAATGTTCAACATTACTAATTATCAGGGAAATGCAAATTAAAACCCAATGAGATATCTCCTCACTCCTGCAAGAATGGCCGTAATTTAAAACATCAAAAAATAATAGATGTTGGCGTGGATGTGGTTATGAGAACCCTTTAACACTGCTGGTGGGAATGTAAACTAGTACAACCACTATGGAAAACAGTGTGGAGATTCCTTAAAGAACCAAAAGAAGAATTACCATTTGATCTAGCAATGCCATTACTGGCTACCCAAAGGAAAAGAAGTCATTATATGAAAAGGACACATGCACATGCATGTTTATAGCAGCACAATTTGCAGTTGCAAAAATATGGAATCAACCTAAATTCCCATCAACTGAGTGGAAAAGAAAATGTGGAATACTACTCAGTCATAAAACAGAATGAAGTAATGGCTTTTGCAGCAACTCCGATGGAGGTGGAGGCCACTATTCTAAGTGAAGTAACTCAGGAATGAAAAACCAAATATCGTATGTTCTCATTTATAAGTGGGAGCTAAGCTATAAGAATGCAAAGGCGTAAGAATAATATGATGGACTTCGGGGACTTGGCAGGAAAGGGTAGAAGTGGGGTGAGGGATAAAAGACTACATATTGGATGTACACTGCTCGCATGACAGGTACACCAAAATCTCAGAAATCACCACTAAACAATTTATTCATGTAAAAAACAAAAAAAAATAAAAACACCTAATCCCCAAAAACTACTCATTAAAATTTTTTTTACAAAAAGAAAATACTGAGGCATTAATATCTGCTGAGAACATGCCTAAGTAATAACTTTCAAGACTTGTATAAATACCCCAGCTCCCTCTGCCTTTGGATGCAGTAATTCTGAGATGAGTACTTTGTACCATTTCCCAAAATCTCCTGTGTGCTTAAACTACAGTTGCCCACAGTGATCGCTCTCCTTTTATTCACTACCCTTTTTCCCTGTTTTATTTCCCTTCACTTCCCTACTAGTGTTGCCTGAACTTCCCATAAAAACTTCTTACCCTCAAATTCATGGTGCAAGACGTGCTTCAGGAGAAACTCAAACTAAGTCAGGACCTAGCAGTTTTGAGTTCCTATTTTGTGATATATGCTGCATTATTTAATCCCTACAACAACCTTCTGAGAAAAATGATTGTAAAGATTAGAATAATATAGTATATGATTTAATTAAATATGTGGAAATGGAGTACAGCAAGTCTACGGCATGCAAAGCACAGATTCTCACCCATTCTGCCTGAGGCCAAAGCCCGGGTCCTGTGGCTTTGCATGTGGCCCTGTTCATAGACTGAGGGAAAGTAAGCACCTCCTTGCAGCCTCTACCTCATTCCAGAAGAAGGACTTGAACCCCTAACCCACAAAAACATTGAAAATCTTTTTCTTTTGCCACTTCAAATTCCTTACGGAACTGCATAATATTCATAAACAACTATATTTATTCTATACCTACTGCCTAATTTTCAATAAGCCAGTCCTAATTTCCTTCAGGCCTTAGACCTCTATAGGCCAGTGCTTATTTTCATGGCTGATTAATGGTTCTGATTAGTCCTCGAAGCAGGAAATCCAATATCCCTTAGGGGAACCCTAAAGATGCAGATGACCATGAATTCAAGGAAGCCTATTCACAACAAAAATCAATGGAGAAAGGAGGCAATGTTAATGCAGACAACATTCTACCAGTTTCTAAATGCAAGTCCTTAGACAGAGAGAGTGGAGGGAGGGGAGGGGATAACAGAGAATGTATTCAGAATACCACATTGCAGTTTCATCACTCTAAAAGCCAGCTTTAACAACTCCCTTCCCAATGTGGAAATTTAAATCTTCCTTTTTGTGAATTTTGACTGGTTTACAGCCCTGAAAGAAAACTTTACCTCTCTCAGAGATTACCTCTTGGATTGAATATGTGTCCAGGAGTGGAGAATGCTTGATTTCAGAGAAACTACATCACAAACACAGCACAAGCACCATTAGAATAATTTAAAGATAATAAACTTAAAAAACTGTGGAAATGTGAAAACTACACCAATTTTTATAACATGTAGCTTATCTGACTG
The DNA here is from genome assembly GCF_000001405.40 of Homo sapiens. Lineage (NCBI taxonomy): Eukaryota > Metazoa > Chordata > Mammalia > Primates > Hominidae > Homo > Homo sapiens. The sequence goes on from NC_000006.12 coordinate 98,747,836, forward strand.
CAGGTATCACTTTTAAGATGATCATAAAGTTTTCTAAAAGGTTTTTGATAGAGTAGATATTTTTCAGTCCAACAAATGTAACTCTTCCTTTGTCATTATTTATTTTGTTGTTTAATTTTTTTATACATAGCAGGGCAATATTGCATCCCTTCCACTTCCTTCTGCCTATCCTTCCTTCTGAGCAACGTGAAGGAGTGGGAAGCAATGCAGATTTTTCAAGAAATAAGAGGGAGAGAGGCTTTCCTCAGTAACTGTCTCTTTCCTGTCCCATGTCTGACTCAGCCACAAAGGATAATACCTTCCTAACTTTACTTAATCTTCCTCAAGATCTATTCAAGCTGCTGAAGTCACGCAAGCTGAAGTCACAGTAACTGTACATAGCTTATGAATCAGAAAATTTTACATCTACATTTCAAAACATTGGCGAACAATTATCATTCTGTTTGGTGCCTGCCTCTGTGCTGGACAGTAGAATGGATACAAAATGATGATTTTTCCTTATATTTGAATAGTATGTTACATATAAATAGTTTTGAAATTGTGTCACCCATTCTCTGCAGTACCAGGGAATTCATGGGAAGGGGCAGGACATAGCGGCTAACAGCTATCTACTTCCACCTATGTCAAATGTTGTTACTTAGCTTTATGTATCTTTAATATAGTGGGTCATCAATTCACATAATAATGTTACAAGACAAATTTTTTTCCATTGGAAAACAAAGTGAAAGAATCAACTTAAATAAGATTGGGAGCTCTATATCACTCCAAGAAGTAATTTTTCTCTTCTTTCTCTTTCTCTTAAACACACACACACACACACACACACACACACACACACACACACATTGACTTCAGGACTATCTTGCAAATGGGACAGCATAGCAAAAAGAAAAACACTGTGTGTGCTACATAAAGTAATGTATGTAAAGCACTAGCATACTGCCTGGGGAAAAGTAGAAGTGTGATAGATGTTTGTGCCAGTAGGGGACATCTGTCGTTTCTGCCAGTCAGCCCCCATACTCCAAATAAGCCTTGGGGAACAACCCGGCCTCTATTCTCCACACATGTATTTGGGCAGGATTAACCCCGCTGCCAGTTCCAATAATGGGTCCTGATTGGCCTAGACCAACTGGCATATCCCATTCCCCTAAAAGTGATTGGCAACAGGCATATGACCTCATCAGAGCCAATGTGACTTTCACTGAGCCTTTGGAACACAGAAAGGACTCTTCCCAGATGGATTTGAAACTTGAAATATGGAGGATAGAACTGTTACTGCCACCTTTCCTCCAAATGAAGTCTGAGAAGAATGTTATTGCTTAGAGGAAAACAGAGCTAATAGATGGAAAGATGCCCAGGTCTTGATCACCTTAAGCCATGATTAAGCAGTATTTCTGGACCACTTCATTACCTAAGCTAATAAGATAGCTTTTTGGTTTCATCTACTTTAGACTCAGTTCTTTGTCACTTGCAATCTGGACTAGGTCCTAAGTAATACGGTGTATAAGTCCTCTCTTCCTCTTCCATGAACCTGACAACCTTATATAACCCTGACATTTATATGACTGCAGCAGAACATCCAGAATCCTAATATTATTGGTCTTATTGGTACTTCATACTTACATATGCATAGTGATAGACTTAATTGTTCATATTGGGTGTGCCTTTTGACCCTAAAATCTCTTTCCTAAAACAATAAATAAATATCACCTTTGTCTTTAAGTACATGAAATTATTTCAAAAAATACAAACAAGAACTAACATAAAAAACAAAGATGAGTGTAGGACTGACCCTTCCAAGTCTAAACCTAGAATTTTAGAGAGTCATGACATAGTCTACTAAAATCAGTAAACTTGGCAAAAAATTAATTTACATAAAATTCTAAGAACCCACGACTTCAGTTTCATGACAGATTTTAACAAGCTCATCAAAAATTTTATATCCAAATACACACTGCCCCCTATAAAGGCCATAATGCACTGTAACACTGCTGCCACTGTCCTAAATATTTGGAATTCACAGTCTAGTTGCACATTCATTTGAGTAAATTTTCAATGGTGAAGAACTTTTATTCTTGAAGTGAGGGTTTGATTTTTTGATATAAAATGTATTCAAAATCTTGTAAATAAGTTTGAATAAGCTGATTAATACCATTTTATTCAAAAATAATATAGAATAAGATTCATTTTTATGTGACTTTAAAATGACTTGTGAAAGACTCCAAACATATTTTAGATAATTGTAGTTAAATAAACTTCTCAAGATGGCTTTTTCAAAGGTAAATAATGCTTGGGTAAACATTTAAGATCTTTTATGCTTTCAAAAAATACCAGTCTCATTACTTTCAGCCTGGTCCATTGAACTTAAAATTTTTCCCTTTCAAGATATCAAGTTACAAAATAAACTTATGCAGAATTTGGCCCATAATCAAAGCTATTTATATCTTTAGTCCTTTGGTCATGCATGTTTTAAGAGTAATTTGAGGCTAAATCTAATGCAATTTCACTAACAATTTCAATTTGTGATTATCCATTAAACAAAAAAATACCACCCTTAGTATTTTCTTCCTGAATATTTAGATGATATGAAAACTAAAACTAAGCCTAAACATGAATTTTAGGCTTATTTCTGAGAATAGGCTAATTGAGTGAAAATGCAAATGCACACACTAAGGCCATGCATTCTGCATGCAAAAAAAGATTGAATATACACTCTGTTTAAAGAAGTTTAATAAACTGACATTAATATATATAATAGATAACTTCATTTCTGAATGAAAGGAAGCAAGTAATGAAGAAGAAAAGCCAGCTTTCCTTTAAATTGTTCTATGCAACTTCTGCTATACCTGTCAGGTTCAGCCATAAGTAGAGACTGGCATCTCTACCACAATATACAAGTTTTTAGCTTTGATTTAATGGTGGAATGGAGAGAGAGAAGACAAGTAAGAACATTTCTCAGCAACCCTTCCAAAACCGCTAAACCTGATTCTACACTCAATCCATGCCAGGTGGACATTCAAAGGCAGTAGATGCAGCAACATTCTGGCAAACAGACTTAACCTCAACAACTCAGCCCAAGCATCTCCCGTAAGGAGACACACACTGTTCAGCCCCAAACCTGACCCTGCCCAAAGCCAAGCAAGAATATTGTGTAGTGTATACCTACCAGTGAAGAATTATCTATCTGACTGTTTGGATTGTTGGTATATTGATTGCTTTATTATTATTATTATTATTATCATTATTATTATTATTATACTTTAAGTTCTGGGGTACATATGAAGAATGTGCAGGTTTGTTACATAAGTATACACATGCCATGGTGGTTTGCTGCACCCATCAACCCGTCATCTACATTAGGTATTCCTCCTAATGCTATCCCTCCCCTAGCCCCCCACCCCCAACAGGCCCCAGTGTGTGATGTTCCCTTGCCTGTGTCCATGTGTTCTCATTGTTCAACTCCCACTTATGAGTGAGAACATGTGGTGTTTGGTTTTCCGTTCTTGTGTTAGTTCGCTGAGAATGATGGTTTCCATCTTCATGCATGTCCCCGCAAAGGACATGAACTCATTCTTTTTTATGGCTGCATAGTATTCCATGGCATATATGTGCCACATTTTCTCTATCCAGTCAATCATTGATGGGCATTTGGGTTGGTTCCAAGTCTTTGCTATTGTGAAGAGTGCCACAATAAACATATGTGTGCATGGGTCTTTATAGCTTTTTCTAAAATCAGTAACTATTAAAATGATTTTGGGTGGATTGGAATCTGCATGCTGAGAAGCCACCAGTGAAAATGCCACATAATTTTATTATAATACTTAAGACAAAAAGATAATAATTTTTTCTTTGGAATTTACCCATATTGAATGCCAAATAAATGTGTCAGTAGGATATACATCATTAAATTATGTGAGTCATCGAAAGCTCTTATAAAAAATAAAGAATGAAGACAGTAAACCCCTAGTTTTATAAAGGAATACAATATTTTTAAAAGTTTTATTTCAACTAATTTTTTACCGTCTTTGATAAGTGGTGTGGTGTCAGTTTGTTTAAAGTACACAAGTAATTTGGAAGGAGATCTAGTCTCAGAAATCATATTGGTACATACTTAATGTATCTAAATGTATATTAACATAGTCTATGAAGATAAAAGTAAGAATTTGGCATGTCGTGTTTCAAAGATTGGAATGAAAACCTTTTCTTCCCACATTATTTCCTAAAAATTTCAGTCTCAAATTGTTCAACTAGATCCAAATAATTTTAACTTTTTGACTGAAGTTTTTTAAGCATACTAAAAGTTTAGAAAATAGTAAAAGTCGCTCTTATATCTGTTACCCAGCATCCAAAACTATCAACATGTGAATATTTGTTTCATCTATACCCCAGCCCACACACACATTGGATTTTCAAACTGTTTCATTAATAAATACTTGAAAATATGCATGCCTAAGAGATAAGGCCCTGACTCTTTTTTTTTTTTTAATACTTTAAGTTCTTGGGTACATGTGCAGAACGTGCAGGTTTGTTACATAGGTACGCATGTGCCATGGTGGTTTGCTGCGCCCATCAACCTGTCATCTGCATTAGGTATTTCTCCAAATGCTATCCCTCCCCTAGCACCCCCACCCGCCAACAGGCCCCGGTGTGTGATGTTCCCCTCCCTATGTCCATGTTTTCTCATTGTTTGACTCCCACTTATGAGTGAGAACACGTGGTGTTTGGTTTTCTGTTCTTGTGTTAGTTTGCTGAGAGTGATGGTTTCCAGCTTCATCCATGTCCCTGCAAAGGACACGAACTCATCCTTTTCTACAGCTGCATAGTATTCCATGGTGTATATGTGCCACATTTGCTTTATCCAGCCTGACTCATTTTTTTAAACAGGGATTTGACATGATTGTCACACCTAAAAGAGTAATAACAGCTTCCTAGTATTATCTAATATCTAATTCAAATTCAGATGTCTCTGTCTCATAAATGTTTTTTGCTTAGTTTGAATCGGAATCTAAATGAGGTTAATACATTGCATTTAGTTGACTTATTCCTTAGACCTCCTGTGATAACACAATCTTCCTTGTTCTTCTTTTTACCCTCTCCTTCAACTATTTATTAGTTTAAAAAATAGGGTCACTTTCCCTAGAAAGTTTCACACATCCCAGTTTTGGCTGAATACACACCCGCCATGTTGTTAGTACAGTATGTCTGTCTATCCCCTATATTTCCTGATAACTGGCAGGAAGAGCCAGATCCTTAATCAGGTTCAAACTCAACTTTTTAGCAAGAATGCTTCATAGAACGTGCAGTGTACGCCCTCCACATCACAACAAGAGATTCATAATAAATGGCTTTCTCTTTTTGTGACTGAAGCTTGATCTGTGAGCTTGGCTGTTGTCAGGCCTCTCCATTAGTTATAGTTTTCCATGAGTCTTCAACCTAAACTTTACAGCAGCCATTGATAATCGTTGCCTAGATCCATTACTTCCAGTCATTTTTAAATTAATATATGTATAGCATTTGATATCTTAGAACATACGTTCACATCCATTATCTCACTAGGTGTCTCATTTAATTATACTAGGCCTCTGTTCCAATAGCTACAACACAGAAATTATATTATTGACTTGCTCTATTTCAGCAAAGTTTTAAGACATTATAGAAATGTTTTCTTAAGGTAACTTATTTTTTTCAACGGCACCGCAAACTTCATTTACATCTCCTTAAGTTTATTTTTAGCATTCCCTATTTGCATGTTTACATTTTAATATTTTTAATTAAGACTTTAAACTTTGTATTGAAGTATAACTTTGAAATAGAAAAAGGCATAAATCCTAAGTGCATAGGGCAATGACTTTTTCCCATATAAATACATCTGTGTAACCACCACGCAGAAACAGAGAGAGAACATCTCCAGGATCCTAGAAAACTCCCAGACAAAACTACCCAAATGTAAACACTAATATAATCTCCACTACCACAAATTAATTTTGCCTGTTTTTGAGCATCATATAAATAGAGTCAAACAGTGGATACTCTTTTGTGTCTTGCTTTTTGTTTGATGTTATAATTGGAGGTTCATCCATGTTTTCACTTGCAGAAGTAGGTTTTTTCATTGCCATGCAGTACTCCAGTCTGTGCATATACCACAATTTATATATTCATACAGTAGCTTAATTTTCACTTTACAAAATTAAGTAAACTACTATTAATACCTGCTTCGTGTCCTCTTAGACTTTCACTTTCTAGTTTAGTTGCCTATTTTTTAATCTACACTAGCTGTCACTCTTTCTGGACTTGTGAAATATATTATTTGAAAATAAAATGAAGTGGTAGAATTTGTTGAAACTGAATATCAGTGGTAAAAGATAATTATCCTGTCTTTTAACTGACTAGTCCACTACTTGGGAAAAACTTACTTACATAGGTATAAAATTTAACAGGCTTAAGATATTGGCTATGAACTTACCATGTAATTCTTTCATTTCTTTGCCCACAAACATTCTCATCTATAAAATTAGTGAAATGAAATGGTGTTACTTTCAAAAAAACCCCAATAATAGGTATAAAATTTAAAGATTCAATTATACAATATTACAAGAAAAAGTTTAATGTGACATTAAGACTAGCTAGGTATTTCAAGTATCAAATATTACCTCATTTATTCACCAGATTAATAGTCATTGAGAACCTGCTCAGCCAGGTGCTAAAAGGGAGTGGTGGTAATGTATAAATAATAATGGAGCACTTAGAATATACTGTACTAATTTTAGCTGCATCATTTCATTCAATCTGCAACTATGAAACTGATGCTACTATTAAACCCATTTTACATGTGAGGCGCAAAAAGACTAAGAAATTTGTTCAAGGTCTCATGACTAGCTATGAAATTTGTAATATGCTGTAAGAATGACTGGCAGATTAAACTCAGTGTGAATAATATTAATCTAAAATTGTTGTGAAAAGTGTCACTATGATCATTAGTAATATACACAAAACATTCATAAGGATGTGGATTGCAGTATGATACAAAAAAATGGAAATTACCCATATATCTAATAATAGCATTATTAATAAACTTTGGAAAACCCACAGGATAGAAGAGAAGTCTCTGACAGCTGTATTTTTAAGAGTATTTAACAAATGATAAAATGATTGTAGTGTATCCTTAAGTGAAAAAAATAAAGCAGGCCATAAAAGAAAAAATATGTACACTATAATACTGATTCTGATAAAGTGGTGTGGGTATGTGCGTGTTTATGGGTGTGTGGTAGGCATTTGCTGCTTTACACTACCCAATAGCCATCCCCCATCCCTCTTGATAACATTCCCCAACTTTCATCAGGTACCCAAGCGTTCCCTATGGGTTTATGTGCTCAGCAAGAAGTTGCTTCCTCACCCAGGTCCTAGGGTAAGCCTTATTTGGCCTGACAAGTCCCCACACTCGCTATTGGATCAGGGATGGGCACACAATCCAATTCAGACCAAGGAGATGCAAGATTTTTCAGGGAGCTTCTGGGAAGGAAAGAAAATAACTTCATAGCTCTTCAGAAAAAGCAACTAAAAGAGCCATCCTGCCTTCTGGTTAGCAGAGTATAAGAACATGCCACCTGGAACTACTACAGTCATTTCTGCTGTCATGAGAAAGCCAGCCTGAGGCCAATGCCAGTGCAAAGAGGAGACAAAGCTGAGAGAATCACAGAGAAGCAAAGCCAGAGTCCTGCTGTAGTCATGAACCCCTGGATTAAACCATGTCTACAGCTAGAGAGAGACCTTGCCCTGCTTGGTTCCACAAGCCAATAAATTCCTTTTTCTCCTTAAACCAGTGTGAGTGAGAGTTGTTACAACCTAGAGAATCTCAATTGTACAAACTGTGCATACAAAAAGATTGGAAATGCTTGGTATTTTTGTTATGCTTTTCTCTATTTTGCATATTTTCTACAATACACATGGCATGTTATCATCAGTAAGAACAATAAATACTATTTTAAATAGTCCATTCAAATGCTCCACGTTGAATATATTTCTTGATTATTTATATCTGAGCTCACCAAGCAATTAAAAAATCAGTCTGCTTCGCAGAACCTTAACATTTGAAATAATGATAATAATAGCACGCATTTATGTAAGACCTGATTGTTTTCAAAGCACTTTCACATTTGATAATTTGAGCAAATCTATGAATTAGGTAAGAGAGTGTGGCAGAGAACGCTTTGAGTTCACAAAAGCTCATTTTCTTGTACTCCTGGGCACAAAAATACACGATGTTTCCCAGCCTCCCTAGCAGTTGGCTAAGCTATGACCAAGTTCAGCCTAATGGACTATGAGCGAAATGAGGTGCACTGGTGCTAGGTCCAGCCTATAAAAAAAAAAAAACCTCCCATGAATGAATGACTTTCTCTCTCTCCCTCTCTCTCCCCATGTCTGCCAGTGAACTTATAAAGCCACAAGGTCTTAGAACTTAATAAAGCCACAAGATGGCCCTAAAACTTAGAAAAGCCATAAGATGGGAAACGCTTGGATCCCTAATTAACTAAGTAGAAGGCTGTGTGATAACCAGGAGCATCTGTGTTTGAGTCTGCAAGAAATGAGATGTTACTAAGCTGTATTAGAGTTCTCCAGAAAAACAGACCAAATAATGTGTGTGTGTGTGTGTGTGTGTGTGTGTGTGTGTATGTGTGTGTGTCTGTGCGTCTGCGTTTAGAGGGAGGAAGAGAGAGAGAGAGAGAGATTTATTATAGGTTTCGCAAGTCCAAAATCTGCAGGATGGTCCAGCAGGCTGGAGACTCAGGGAAGAGTTGCAGTTAGAGCCCAAAGGCTGTCTGTTGGCAGAATCCCCCTTTCCTCCTCCAGGAGGCCAGTCTTTTTTCTATTAAAATCATCAACTGAATGAATGAGTTCCTCCTACATTATGGAAGGTAATCTGCTTTGCTCAAAGTCTACTAATTTAAATGTTAATCTCATTAACATTCACAGAAACATCTAGAATAATATTTGATTGTGTGTTATTTATACTTTGGCCTTCACATAAACATCTGTAGTAATATTTGACTAAATATGTGGGTACCATAGCCTAGCTGAGTTGACACATAAAGTTAACTATCACGTAAGCCAGTGGGCACCACTTGCTGAGCTTGAGTGCAACTTCTGCAGAAGAATCTGGGTGCCAGGCTCTTGTGATGAATCCCATTCAATGTCCATTTTCACAGTCATCTCACTTAGTCAAGAATGTGTCCCACACTCCCAATCCCCTGGAAGAATGACAAGGACAGTCTTTTGATCCTCCTTACCGGATTTTCTACCATCATACATAGGTTTTCTGCTTTAGAGAGTTTTTCCTTGACTTTATGTGGTAAAACCACTCTATTTTCTCAGTTCACTTTTCTTCAAAATAGGATATTAGGGAGAATTGTCACATTTGTTTTTCTTGCTTCCTCCTTCCCTTCCTTCCTTTCTTTCTTCCTTCCTTTTTTTTTTTTTTTTTTTTGAGACAGGGACTTGCTCTTTCACAGAGGCTAGAGTGCATTGGTGTGATCACAAGTCACTGCTGCTTTGACCTCTGGGGCTCAAATGATCCTCCCTACTCAGCCTCCCAAGTAGCCAGTTAGGCAAGTGCATGCCACCATGCCTAACTAATTTTTTTTGTTGTTGTAGAGAAAGGGTCTTGCTACGTTGCGCAGGCTGGTCTCGAACACCTGCATGCAAGAGATCCTCCCTCCTCAGCCTCCCAAAGCACTGGGATTACAGGGTTTGAGCAATCACGCCTGGCCTGTCTTGTTTTTTAGTCATCTTCTTTCCTCCGTACTGCTTCTTGAAGACTAGAAGCAAAATAAGGAGTAACACCTCTCTATACACCAGAATCTTCCATTTTTTTCTTTCATCACTACTGTTTGAAGCTTATTAATAAAAAATAAACCCTTTTGTTTACTTGACTGCTGTTGGGAATTTAAGGCCAGACCCTTTACATTTTTTGTCCAAACATTAGGAGGGATACTCTGTGATCCTTCTCCACTCTGCCTTTTATATCCCTAGCATCAAACTGATTATATGCAAAGGAAACTCTTCACTATGGTTTCTACATGGTTTGTTTGTCCCCACTGAAACGCATGTTGAAATTTGATCCTCAGTGCAGCAGTGTTTGCAGGTGGGGCCTGATTGGAGGAGTTTGTGTCATGAGGGTGCTGGTCTCCTGGGTAGCTTGGTGCTGTTCTGCAGGTAGTGAGTGAGTTCCTGCTCCAGCAAGACTAGATTAGTTCCCACGAGAATGGGTTACTTCCCATAATAGTGGGTTTCCATAAAGTTGGGATGCCCCTCAGGTTTTGCCTCTTCACACATGTCCACTTCCTCTTTGACCTCTCACCATATTCTGACCCTTCACTGTAGTTTGACTCAGCACAAAAGCTGAGTAGATGTTGGCACCATAGCCCTGGTGCTTCCCAGCTTGCAAAATCATGAGCCAAATAAACCTCTCCTCTGTACAAATTACCTAGGCTCAGATATTCAGTTACAGCAACACAAAACAGACTAAGACTCTCCCCTACAAAAATGTGTTCAAAGAAATGTTCTGTATTGCAAAGCAGATTCACAATCTAATCTCCAATAAGAGTTTGGGCAGAAGATGATCAAATTTAGTGCCAGGGGCCATATACAAAGTCTTTCTAAGCCTAGAAGAAATTCTGAAAATTTCATCATTTAAATTTGATTTTTATTTCAATATATCTCCCTGATGACTACATTAAACCACCTCTCTGTACCACATGATGACACAATTGCTATTTAGAATGCTAAATACAATTTGATTAAAATTACAAGACTCGGGTAAGTTCCAAAAGAGCTATGTATTTGCTAAAAGGCCATTGATTTATATTGAAACTCAATGAAAATAATGTTATTTTTAGACAAGGGAGTAATATTGCCCTTAACTTACCTGTTTCTGTCTATCATTGCACAGTGCCTTATGTTAACTATTCCCTATAATAGCAGAAGCATGGGCCTGACGACCTCTCAAGGTCACCTCAAGCCTTTTGATTATATGAATTGTGTGCTGAAAATTACATGCTAAAATATCTACACAAAAGCTGTTATTTTCTTTCTACAACTGTCATCTTTAATGCTACCTTGGGTTTTATATTTAAGATGTATACTCATGTTTACTTGTTTCTAAAATGGTTTAAAAACTGTTACAGGCCATTCTCAACTTTCAATAGCAATTGAGGTAGATTTCACACAAGGTTAAACAAAACTGACTATGAATGTTGCATTTTGTATATGTGGTTATAGCTCTCCTTTGTTTTATTCTCTGTAAGCCAGAGAATCAAAGATAGCCATATCACACCCATTTTTTAAATTGTTATTTTTATATCTTTTCATAAGATACTAACACCATCATAAATTTCCTATAAAGCTAAAATCATCATAGTTTAATTTATTAAAACAGATTTTATCACATAATTTAGGTTACTATAATTAAGCTTTTGTAATAGTTACTCCTTTATCTACATGAAGTAGCCACCACAATTTTGAAAGTAAATATTTCACCAGCTGACACTCATTGAGTAATAACTGCCAGTTTTTGAGGCTCCAAATTGGCAAAATAAAATCAACATAGTTGACATGCTGATTCTAGTTATTCATTACTTTCATGTGCCCAGAATTTTGTGCCCAAAATTCTAGTTTATGATGTAAAGCTCAACTAAACTTTTAGAAGATCTCCTCATAAACACTGAGACCTTCTTTTTATACATATTTCTTTTCTCTGTTAGACAATAATTTACCCTTGATGAAACACTGAATATAGACATATCTCATTTTATTGTGTCACTTTATTGTACTCATAGATATTGCATTTTTTATAAATTGAAGACTTGTGGCAATCCTGGGTATAGCAAGTCTAGAGATAACATTTTTCCAATAGCATTGGCACATATTTATGTGTCTGTGTCACATTTTGGTAATTCTAACAATATTCTAACAATTCTAACAATATAAAAAGAAAAACTTTTTCTCCATTATTGTGTCTCTTATGGTGATCTGTAAACTCTGTTATTTGATCTTACTATTACAATTGTTTTGGGGCCCCATGAACCACACTTACATAAGATGGCAAACTCAACCAACAAATGTTGTGTGTTTTCTGACTCTTCCATCAAACAGCCACTCCTCCATCTTTCTCCCTCTTCTTGGGCCTCTCTGTTACCTGAGACACAACAATATTGAAATTAGGCCAATTAATAACCCTACAATGACCTCTAAGTGCTCAAGTGAAAAGAAGAGTCACAAATATCTCACTTTAAGTCAAAAGCTGGAAATGATAAAGCTTAGTGAGGAAACCATGTTGAAAGCCAACATGGGCTGAAAGCTAGGCCTCTTGCACCAAAGGGTTAGCCAAGTTGTAAATGCAAAGGAAAAGTTCTTGAAGGAAATCAAAAGTGCTACTCCAGTGAACACATGAATAATAAGAATGTGAAATAGCCTTATTGCTGATGTGGAGAAAGTTTTGATGGTCTGAATAGAAGATCAAACCAGCTACAACATTCCCTGAAACCAAGCCTAATTCAGAGCAAGGCCCTAACCCTCTTCAATTTTATGAAGGCAGAAGGAAATGAGGAAGCTGCCGAAGAAAAGTTGGAAACTAGCAGAGATTGGTCCATGAGGTTTAAGGAAAGAAGCCATCACTATAACATAAAAGAGCAAGGTGAAACAGTAAGTACTGATGTAGAAGCTGCAGCAAATCATCCAGAAGATCCATCTAAGATCATTAATAAAGGTGGCTACACTAAACAACAGATTTTCAAAGCAGACAAAACAGCCTCTATGGAAAGGAAATGCCATCTAGGACTTCATAGCTAGAGAGGAGAAGTCAATGCCTGGCTTCAAAGCTTCAAAGGACATACTCACTCTCTTGTTAGGGGCTAATGCAGCTGATGACTTGAGCTTGAAACCAATGCTCATTTACCATTCCAAAAATCCTGGGGCACTTTAGAATTATGCTAAATCTACTCTGTTTGTGCCCTATAAATGAAAAACAAGGCCTGGATGACAGAAAATCTATTTACAGCAGGGTTTGCTGAATATTTAAAGCTCAGTGTTGAGATCCACTGCTCAGAAATAAAGATTCCTTTCACAATATTGCTGCTCACTGTCAATGCACCTGGCCACCCAAGAGCTCTGATAGAAATTTACCAAGATATTAATGCTGTTTTCATTACTCCTAACACAATATTCATTATGTAGCCCATGGATAAAGGAGTAATTTTGAATTTCAAGTCTTATTATCAAGAAATACATTTCATAAGACTATAGTTCCCACAGATAGTGATTCTTCTGATGGATCTGGGAAACATAAGTTGAAAACCTTATGGAAAGTATTCTAGATGCCATTAAGAACATTCATGATTCATGGGAGAAGGTCAAAATATCAGTGTTAACAGAAGTATGGAAAAAATTGATTCCAGCCCTTATGGATGACTTTGAAGGGTTCAAGTCTTCAGTGGAGGAAACAACTGCAGATGTGGTAGAAATAGCAAAAGAACCAGAATTAGAAGTGAAGCCTAAAGATGTAACAGAATTGCTGTAATCTCATGATCAAATGTGAATGAATGAGGAGTTGCTTCTTATGGATGGGCCAAAAAAAAGGTAATTTCTTGAGATGGAACCTACACCTGGTGAAGAAGCTGTGAACATTATTGAAATATCAACAAAGTATTTAGAATATTACATAAACTTAGTTGATAAAGCAGTGGCAGGGTTTGAGACAATTGACTCCAATTTTGAGAAAAATTCTATTATGGGCAAAATGCTATCAAACAGCAGTGCATGCTAAAGAGAAATCTTTCCTGAAGAGAAGAGTTCATCAATGCAGCAAACTTTATTGTCATACTTTAGAAAATTGCCACCACCACCCCAACCTTCAGGAACCACCACCTTGATCAGTCAGCAGCCATCAACATCAATGCAAGACCTTTCACTGAAGGGTCAGATAAGCATTAGCATTTTCATCAATAAAGGTTTTTTAAATTATCTTTTTAGGGACAAGGTCTTGCTCTTTCGCTTAGGCTGGAGTGCCATGGTGTGATCATAGCTTGCTGCAGCCTCAAACTCTTGGGCTCAGGGGATCTTTCCTCCTCGACCTACTGAGTAGTGGGAACTTCAGGTCCACACTATTATATCTAGTTGCAATAAAACATTTTTAAGGTATGTACATTTTCTTTTAGACATAATGCTATTGCACGCTTAATAGACCACAGTGCAGTATAAAAATAACACTTTTTTTGAGACAAGGTTTCACTCTGTCACCCAGGCTGGAATGCAGTGGTGCGATAGTGGCTCACTGGACCCTTGACCTCCTAGGCTCAAGCAATTCCCCCACCTCAGCCTCTTGAATAGCTGGGACCACAAGCACATGCCACCACATGCAGGTAATTTTTTGTTATTTTTGATAGAGATGCGGTCTTACTGTATGAGAACCCAACTTCTAGGTTCCAGCAATCCCCTCCAACCCCCTACTTCATCTCGGAATCCCAAAGTGCTGGGATTACAGGCATGACCACACCTGGCCACGTAAACATAACTTTCATATGCACTGGAAACCAAAAACTTTTCATGACTCACTTTATTGTGATATTCACTTGATTGCAGTGATCTGGAACTGAACCTGCAATATCTGCTTTTTATGCCTATATTTATTTTATTTTATTTTTTATTCTTATTTTACTTTAAGTTCTGGGATACATATGCAGAACATGCAGGTTTGTTACATAGGCATACATGCACCATGGTGGTTTGCTGCACCTGTTGACCCACCCAAAGTTCCTTCCCCTCACCCCCCCACCTCCAAACAGGCCCTGGTGTATATTGTTCACCTCCCTGTGTCCATGTGTTCTCATTGTTCAGCTCCCACTTATGAGTGAAAATGTGTGGTGTTTAGTCTTCTATTCCTGTTAGTTTGCTGAGGATGATGGCTTCCAACTTCATCCATGTCCCTGCAAAGGAAATGAACTCATTCTTTTTTGTGGCTGCGTAGTATTCCATTGTGTATATGTACCACATTTGCTTTATCCAGTCTATCATTGATGGGCATTTGGGTTGGTTCCATGACTTTGCTATTGTAAACAGTGTAAATAGTGCTTCAGTAAACATACATGTGCACGTGTCTTTATAGTAGAATGATTTATATTCCTTTGGGTATATACCCAATAATGGGATTGCTGGGTCAAATGGTATTTCTGGTTCTAGATCCTTGAGGAATCACCATACTGTCTTCCACAACAGTTGAACTAATTTATATTCCTACCAACAGTGTAAAAGTGTTCCTATTTCTCCACAGCCTTGCCAGCATCTATTGCTTCTTGACTTTTTAATAATTGTCATTCTGATTGGCACCCTAATATCACAATTAAAAGAGCTAGAGTATTAAGAGCAAACTAATCCAAAAGCTATCAGAAGACAAGAAATAACTAAGATCAAGGCAGAACTGAAGGAGATAGACACACAAAACACCCTCCAAAAAAATCAATGAATCCAGGAGCTGGATTTTTAAAAAAATTAACAAAATAGATAGCCCACTAGCCAGACTAATAGGAAGAAAAGAGAGAAGAATCAAATAGACACAATAAAAAAATGATAAAGGGGACATCACCACTGACCCCACAGAAACACAAACTACCTCAGAGAATACTATAAACACCTCTACATAAATAAACTAGAAAATCTGGAAGAAATTCATAAATTCCTGGACACACACACCCTCCCAAGACTAAACCAGGAAGAAGTTGAATCCCTGAATAGACCAATAACAGTTCTGAAATTGAGGCAGTAATTAATAGCCTACCAACCAAAAAAGCCTGGGACCAGATGGATTCACAGCTGAATTCTACCAGAGGTACAAGGAGGAGCTGGTACCGTTCCTTCTGAAACCATTCCAAACAATAGAAAAGAAGGGACTCCTCCCTAACTCATTTTATGAAGTCAGCATCATCCTGATACCAAAACTTGGCAAAGACAAAACAAAAAAAAAGGAAACTTCAAGCCAATATCCCTGATGAACATCGATATGAAAATCCTCAATAAAATACTGGCAAACCGAATCCAGCAGCACATCAAAAAATTTATCCACTACACCTGTATTTTAAAGGCATCACTCATCAGATTGATTCCAAGTGAGGTATGCCTGTAGATGCTCTGTCTTTATCCTCCAAAAATTCCCACTCTCTCTCCCTCCCTCTCTCTCTCTTTTTCTTTCTCTCTCGCTTTTTCTCTCACTCATCAATTTCCTTGGGTCTAATATGAGCATCTTTGGTATTTTGCTTGCTTCCCCTCTCCTTTGGAAAAACAGATCCCAGTTTTCGAAATTCAACCTTTACCTACTCTTGCAATCCCTATGGGAAAGAACTAACTAAGATTCTCATCAATGCCTTCTAGTGTCTGGGGGAAAATCCAGGAGACTTTTAAAATGTCCTTTGTTGTATTCTGTTTTTACTTTCTCCATTAGCAGCCTTTAACTGCTGAAATGTTCTTACATATTTTAATCTTATTTTCTGTAATACATTATTTTTGTGCCCCTTATCTTGTTATAATTCTTAAATTACTAGTTGGCTAATTCACTTAGGCATTGTCATGACTTTTAGAGAAATTGTATTGCTGTGTCTTATTTTTCTTCTATCTGGTCCTACCCTATTCTAAACAATTTCTGCATTATATTAAAACCTTCCAAAGTTTACTTGTTTCTGCTCTATCTTGTTTCACTTTCATTTTCATCCTGATCCCAAACACAATGAGATTCAGATCGCTATTTCCAAGATTCCTCTGAACCATTCTTTCAGCAATAAGACCCCATGCATTACACACAATACCCTGGCTGGTATTGTTTCTCCTCCTTATTGGCCATAGGATGCAGTGAATGAGAAAGCAATCCTATATCAGAGCTACAAGCATTTAGCCTGCCTTATCTGGTCTGCCTCATAAAACACAGCCTATTCATAAGAAATTCAATTCTGCTGGCCACAACTGGCCCCTTGAATGTTTGTACACTTTTTTTTTTACCCAATAAGGCAGTCATTTCTTTACTTGAGGGTTATATCTAATTTTGTGATTTATAAAAAATTATAGTAAGCATTTTACACAAGTTTTACAGTGAAATTGTACAGTTTCAGGGTCAAAGAAAAATACTTCCTCTGTCAAAAGAAATGTCATATATTAATCATTTTGCATTATTCATCTATCAACTGATAATATTAAAGATGTTTTCAACAGAAATCAGAAACATAAATATAAACTAGTTTGTCTAGTCTTCCACCAGAAACAAAATTTTTGAAGTTTCTAAGTTGCTGAGAAAAACCTTAAAATATTAATTTAGAAAACAAGAGAGAAGCAAAATGAATGCAGAGTAAGGCTGAAAGGTATCAGTTACCTTTAGCTCATGGATGTTATCATTAACAGAATGAATTAGGTATATACCAATCAATTTCCAAAATATTTATGAAGTTTCATTAGGTGGGAAAAATAAGACATAGCCAAAAATGTATTTGATCTCACTTTTTGTAAAACAATGGCAAAAATTATGTGTATACGTGTACATGTATTATGTAGATATACACATACATGAAAAAAGATTTCATGTATATACATCTGGTCCTACCTTATTCTATTTAATGTGTATGCATCTTGTTATACTTGTATCACATATATATACAAACATGCATTCATATATTATATACATGTATAACTTTATAGATGTCCATGTATATATTTTATAAAACAAGCAATGATGTGTATATTACGACATTGCATATATTTTAGATCATTATTGAAAAAAGAACAGAAAAATATAACAGATTATTAATGGGGATTCCTTTGGGTAAAGGCAGATGTTTCATAATGGGAGAGAAATATAAGAGGAGGAAGAAGAAGTAAAAAAAATTAAAAATTATTTGTCCTATATTAAAAGACATCATGTGTAATATAATTCCACTTATATGAAATGATGTAGGTGTTTGTACGCATAAAGAGATGCCTGAAAAGACGTTCACCAAAATATTAATGCTGCAAATTCAGAGAGGTAGGATTTAAGTTAATATTTATTTTCTTGCTTATGGTTTTTTGGTAATGTTTGAATTTTTTTCAGTGAGCATGTTATCAGGTATATTATTGAGGGGGACAGCACAATAAGACTATTTCCATTACAGATGAAAGAGAAGATACAGGCTGGGTGTGGTGGCTCACACCTGTAATCCCAACACTTTGGGAAGCTGAGATGGGCGGATCACTTGAGCCCAGGAGTTCAAGACCAGCCTGGCCAACATGGTAAAACCCCATCTCTACTAAAAATACAAAACTAGCTGGGCATGGTGGTATGCCTGTGGTCCCTGCCATTTGGGGGGCTGAGATGGGAGGATCACCTTAGCCCTGGAGGGGGAGGTTGCAGTGAGCCAAGATCATGCCACTGCACTCCAGCCTGGACAACAGAGTGAGACTCTGTCTCAAAAAACAAAACAAAACAAAAAAAAAACAGCTGAAAATGTAAAAAAAAAAAAAAAGAAAGAAAGAAAGAAACTTACGAAGAAGAGTTCACCCTTCGTGGAGATTCTACTCTGGCTCCAGTACACTCTTGTGTCTCTGCGTTGAGAAACTCCAGTGAAGATGTACCCAGCCTACAGAGGAACAAACTGAAGTGGAAGATTTGATATCATGAGCTTTTAAGTGAGGCTCTCATTGACGTTTGGCGGCCAAAGAGCTGCAAGAACTTTTGGCACAACCGATCAATACTATCACATCCTCCTAAGGGAACGCAGTAATGAAAAGAAACTGAATCAATCTTTCTCAAGTGCAGCAGAGGGAATTGTTTCCAACATGCCCAGCCGCTGACTGCAGGGCATGTACAGGCTAGTGTTGGGCTCCAGGGTCAGTTGCCTGGATTCAGACCCTGTTCCCAACTCTTAGGTTTTCAGTTCCTTTATATATAAAAGAGACATAATAATATAACCTAGTGGAGAGGGTAGTTATGAGAATTAAGCATCAATGTACTGTACTTAAAACCATTCCTGCCTTGTTGTAGGCGGTCAGTGTGTTAACCCCTATGCATGTGTGCCTGTCATTTCAGAGAGAAAAATAAAAATATTAAGTTGAAACATTTCCTTCAGTTATTATTATTTATTTAATTAGTCATTCTTATTCAATTATTCGTGGCTTAGAAATCCACGTTTGGGAGAATGCTACTTTGACATCACTTTAAATATTTAAATTTGGAGACCAAACTTCAGAATATATCATTTATGCAACAAATACTGAGCCCTACAATGCCTGGGTGCTGCTACCTCAAGGATCGGGCTATCCGGATATGATAAAACTTGGCCTTTCTTCACATCTGCAACAAATGAGTTTCAATTCCCAATCTGCATTTAAAGCATATGCATTAGTTTACAATGTTAAAAACATATTCTCTCCCTATCTCAAAGCACCTTAGGTTACCAAGAAGAAATACCAAGTAAAAAAATTAGTGTGAAAACATGTTCCCCAAGTTGGTGTGAAGGTAGATATTGATCACTATCCCGAGGTCTCTAGAGGAGGCTTTTGCATCATAGGTAACAGAATAATATGAAAACAAAAATGCAGTGCATTTGAGGATATCTAAGCCATTCTTAGGAGGTAATTTTCAAACAGAGAAGTTGTTTTCCTGGTCTACCATCTTTTGTGTATGGTTTTCTTTTGTTGTTTGTTGTTGTTGTTGTTGTTGTTTTTTGTTTTTTGAGACAGTCTCACTCTGTCGCCCAGGCTGCAGTGCAGACTTCGCCTCCCAGATTCAAGCAATTCTCCTGCCTCAGCCTCCCAAGTAGCTGGGATTACAGGCATCCGCCATCATGCCCGGCTAATTTTTTTATTTTTGTAGAGACAGTGTTTGACCATATTGGCCAGGCTGGTCTTGAACTCCTGACCTCATGTGATCTGCCCACCTGAGCCTCCCAAAGTGCTGGGATTACAGGCATGAGCCACTGTGCCCAGCCATGTATGGTCCTTCTTACACTTCCCTTTAATCTACACAAGTCTTCTATCCTGTAATACAATTCCCTGTCTCGAAATCCAGTTTAAGATTCTTAGCTGCTACAGCACAACAACATGGCACATGTGTACATATGTAACAAACCTGCATGTTGTGCACATGTGCCCTTGAACTTAAAGTATAATTTAAAAAAAGAAGAAAGAAAGCAAAGCAAAGCATTGGCAAAATAGACCAAAAGCTATTCCTAGAAAGCAAAAGATAAAAACCAATAAATTTGAGGATAAGCAAAAAACAAAAACAAAAACAAAAGATTCATAGCTGCTACTTATTCCCCTATCCACAAAAAGGGCAAAGAACTTGTCACTACATTTGAAATTGAAAGAGTTTTTACCCTACTTTCCACTGGCATCATTATTCACAAACATTGGAGCAACCATCTTAAGTATCTGCTACCCCATTGTCAATAGGGTTATTCATGGGGTGGGATTGGGGTGGGTATCACTTCTCCTGTGATGGAAAATACTCTAAACTAACACCTTCTGGTTTCTCTTCTCCCCTCATTTATTCCACACAAGGGAAGGATGCAAAACATCTGATTAGTTACTTAAGAAGTGATCTTCAAAGTTTTCACTCTCACTCTCAGAATTCCTGCACTCT
Source organism: Homo sapiens (assembly GCF_000001405.40). Taxonomy (NCBI): domain Eukaryota; kingdom Metazoa; phylum Chordata; class Mammalia; order Primates; family Hominidae; genus Homo; species Homo sapiens. The sequence goes on from NC_000006.12 coordinate 98,768,480, forward strand.
CAAAATTCATTAATGACTACTAAAAGCTTTAAGTTGTGAGGGTTAACATATATTGATGTTTGCTGTGTTAAAAATTAAAACTGGCCAGGCGCGGTGGCTCATGCCTGTAATCCTAGCACTTTGGGAGGCCGAGGCAGGTGAATTGCCTGAGCTCAGGAGTTCGAGACCAGCCTGGGGAACACGGTGAAACCCCGTCTCTACTAAAAATACAAAAATTAGCCAGGCGTGGCAGCAGGCACCTGTAATCCCAGCTACTTGGGAGGCTGAGGCAGGAGAATTGCTTGAACCCAGGAGGCAGAGGTTGCAGTGAGACGAGATCACGCCACTGCACTCCAGTCTGGGAGAGAGAGCGATACTCCATCTCAAACAAACAAACAAACAAAAAAATTAAAACTGAGAACTACATTTAAGATAACAATAATAAATTAACTATATGTTAACATACATAACACTTTGTGAAAGAATAACTATATTTTCCCAACAAAACTGTGGTAAGAAAAAATGGCATTGATTTACACTTTTGCAAATCTCTTTAATGCCTGACTTAAGAGAAAGAAGATGAATTTAAGTATCAACTTCTGGATTCCAACTTTTTGCAATATGACATGCAATGGAGTTTCTGGAAAATTCCATCATAACTTTCGAGAGAAACAGTGAAAATGTGAAAAAAAAGTCTTACTATTATCATAAAAATAGTTTTGACTCATGGAACCTGGGACTATACATTGAGAACCACCAACTTAGGAGAAAGATGCAGGCATGGGTCTCTTGGTCACTGGGTTCCCCTCTCTTGGCAGTCTACCTTCCCCTAGAGAACACTCCTTTCAGCTTCACCTCATCCTGACTGCAGTTCTCCTGTGGTTCCTGGGATAGGTAACTCTGTCCCACCCTGGGACTGGCTTTTGAAAGTCCTTCATTGCCTTCACCCCCTCAACTGTGTTATCCAACATCTTTATTCCATCAGGAATAAAGATAGAGTTTTAGTCTTCATCTGTCTGACTCCTTTGTCTTTCTCTCAGTTACTGTTATAAATAGCATAGATTTTCATTTCAGAGGTAGAGCCTGGCTTAACTCCGCTTTACCTGTCTGACCTGAATTAATGTTCTCATTCCCAGACTGTACTAGTTACTTGGTTACCTGATATTCACACTTGTCAGATGTAAACCCAAGGGCCTTTCATGCTCTTAGATTCCAAAAGGTGGCTTCTTCAGGAAACCTGCACCAGCTCTTAAGGACCTGTATCTCCACAACCCCCACCTGGGGGAGCTCCAGGGACAAGGAGCTGAATACACATATATGTGCTCTGAAGAAAGACATGTTTGCTTGCATTGCTGGGCAGTATGATAGAAAAATCAATTTGATCCATCTTTTCCATTTCTGTCCTAAGCAGCAATCTTGGTCCAACTGTTAAGTATGTCATGCCACCCCAAACTGGGATAGTATTTACTATGTGCAGACACTACTGAAAGCATTTTACTAATAATAGCTCATTTATTCTTCATAATAATCTAATGAGGTAGGTACAGGTATGATTCCCATTTTAGAGACAAGAAAACTAAGGCACAGAGATGTTAAGTAACTGCCCAGTTGCTCTGCTGGGACTCAAACTCAGGCTCAGACTCTGTATGCTTTGGGATCCAGCCCTGCCCTTACCCTGGTATAAATCTCCTGGATAAACAATTGCAGTGACTCTGTCCACCCTAGCCTTTTCTTTTGTAAACTAGACATTGCTCCCCTTCAGCACATATGTGGCTCTAAGTGTCTCTTTCAGGGCATCTGCTTATTCCCCCTTCAATGATTCCTTTCAGCCAAGATAAATGCCAAGGGGCCACGAGCACATAGGCCTTCCAAACCGCCCAAGAATTGATTATTGTGACATCTAAGTCTTCTACATATTTTCTGTTGGGTGGTGTCATTTAACCTATTGTAATATTCAGAAGGACATGGATATGCTGTGTAACTTCACATTTTCAATTTCAATGTCCCGTTGAAGCACTTGATACCCCTCCATGTAACTGAACCATAGATAATAAAATCAGTGGCTATTATAATACTTCAAATATTTGTTCTTAGGCATAGTGAAGGTGTCCTTTCCCCGTTGGCCCAAAGTTTCTGATTCACCCTGCTCAGGCTGAGCATTACTTTAGGATCCTAGACAATTCTTTTATCTGCCTTTTACGTTAGATCCTCAATCCAAGTAAACTTTGAAAATACATCAACAACGGTTAAAAGAAACACCCACCTCCCCAGTTGGGTGCAGTGGTTCACGTCTATAATCCCAGCACTTTGGGAGGCTGAGGCAGGATCTCAAGACCAGGCTGGGCAACATAAAGAGACCTCATCTCTACAAAAAAAGAAGAAAAAAGAAAGAAAGAAAACTAGCTGGGTGTGTTGGCACATGCCTGAAGTCCCAGCTACTCAAGAGGCTGAGCGAGAAGGATCACTTGAGCCCAGGAGGTTGAGGCTGCATGGAGCTGTGACCGCACCACTGCACTCCAGCCTAAGTGACAGAGCAAGACTCTGTCTCAGAAAAAAAAAAAAAAAAGGAAAGAAAGAAAAACCCCCTATTATAAACAGGAACTAGCATCCATATGTAGAAACATAGTTCTGGTCTCTTGAGAGAGACCAAGCCAGTTTGTGTTGACAATTTGCAAAGTGACCCACTGAACCAGCTCACCTTTCCACCCCTTCTGAAGCCTCCTGGGAGACATACTCCACATGCTACCACCACCCCACCACATGGAAAACCTGATTTAACAATCAAAGAACTTTGGAGACATCCTTATTAGTCATGCTAATTCAGATTAGGGGAAAAAAAGTAAATGAATTACATGAGAGATTATTTAAAACCCAAATATATCTGGGTTAATTGGCCACTTATGATTCATCAATAGCTTGGTATTTCTGTAACATATGAGAGTTGCATGCATTTGGGGTGAGAACTGTTAACAAGCTAACAAGCTCCTGAACGAGATTTTGATGAAATTTACACTTCTATAACTGAACCAAACCCTTTATTTTAAAAAAATAACCAATTTAGCTGTCAACATAAAATATTCATTTTGTCATTCATATAAGTAATGATCTCCAGCAAACGAGATAGTTTACTTTTTGACGTGAATTTCATTAGTTACTTTTTCTTCCTCCCTAGTTCCAGGCAGGATTGCGACAGCTGTCCAGGGGCCCCAATTAAACATCTAAACTGGTCCATATTATGCCCACCAAAGCACTTTAAAATCATCACCTAAAAACAGCCTTCACCAAACAGCTCATCAAAGCCTTCAGCTACGAACACAAGCTGTAAAACCCATTTACACGGGCCACCAAGTTAAGAACCTTTCACACTGGCAGGTGGGGAAGAGAAGGCAAGCAGATCAAAGATATTTGGGCCACCCACTTCTTTATTAAAGGAAAAACAACTACAACTTTCAGATAAGCTAGCTCTCTGGGATGGCATTTCTTCTTGGGTCTAGCCTATCTGTTCACTGGACACAAAGGTGGTTCTCAGGTATCTGGCATGGGTCTTCCTCAGACCTCCCAACCTGCCCTCACCTGCCAATCAGGGAGCAGCAGCAGTCCCTCAGACTGTCAGACACACTTGAGAAATTCAGAGACATGCTCAGTAGTGAGTCTATTTGGGAGGAGACAGCATCTTGCACGTTCAGTCTCTTCATGATGGTACTTTGACTGGCTATCGTGATGCCAGTTTCTACCTTTTGATAAACTTTCCCCAGAGTCATGAATTCATTCTACCTATAGAATTCTTTAAAAAGCAAATAAATGGGCAGGGTGTGGTGGCTCATGCCTATAATCCCAGCACTTTGGGAGGCTGAGGCGGGCCTATCACTTGAGGTCAGGAGTTTGAGACCAGCCTGGCCAACTTGGTGAAACCCTGTCTCCACTAAAAATACAAAAATTAGCCAGGCATGGTGGGGCATGCCTGTAATCCCAGCTACTTGGGAGACTGAGGCAGGAGAATCACTTGAACCCGGGAGGCGGAGGTTGCAGTGAGCCAAGATCACACCATTGCACTCTAGCCTGGATAACAGAGTGAGACACCATCTCAGAAAAAAAAAAAAAAAAAGAATCAAGTAAATGTTCTCTGCCAAATTTAAGAAAATAACAAAAGGCCATTCCACCTCAAAACAAAGTAATCCAACAAGGAGTATGAAGTTTTATTGCTTTTCTTGTTACTTCCTGTGACCAAAATTGACCCAATGGGACCTGATGAAGAAACTTTGTTGCAAAGAAAACTCAAAAAGAAAACATCAGAAACAAATTATTAAACGTCAGACAAGGTATACATCCTGTTATAATCACAATTAGGATTATTCTTCGAAATCTCATCACTCTTTTTCTGCAAAACAGGAGGAAAGTTATTTCAGTCTGTCCAGATAAAACTGCCTCCATTTTCTGTAATGGCAATTTTGACTTGAGATGCCAGATAGATTTTGTCTGGTGAATTGGCTGGGGTTTTCTCTTTGTAAAAAGCTTTAATACTCTAAGACCTTCTGTTTTGTGAGATTTGGTAGAAGTACTTTGCAGGAATTAGTTAGGGTTGCTCAATATTCTAGAGGAGCTGAGGCAAGATTTTTAAGATCTTGTTGGGTGAGGTAGGAAGGGTTGGTGAATGATTGTGTCCTTATAGGAGGTTGATTAGATTCTGGTGGGCTATTGATCTGGATTATACTGTTGGATGGGTTGTGATAAATGGATTATGTAAATTATGTCTTTGACAGTCCTCTAATCTTAGAGACTATTCCCAAATTTTAGCAGAAAACCCTGCTTTCTACAGCTTCCTTCTTCCTCCCTCTGTCTCACTCTCTCCCTTTCTCTCTCTCTCTTATGCCCTTTCACTAAATGATATCCAGAAAGTACATGGATATTTATGAGCCCTTTCTTAAGACAATTTTGTATTTATTTCAAAAATTTTACATACAAGGAAAGATGTTGATTTATTTAAATTAGTGAAAGAAAATTCTGCAGAGTACACACTTCAACTACAATTCCAATTACTTTTTTCCTTCTGTCATCACAATCATTTGAAAATTATAGAAGTCTCAGCACCAAAGTTTGCAAACTCAAGAAATGGAGTATTTTCACAAATATATGCTTTAAAAATAGAAACAAACATTACTTTAAGCCATCTCATTTTAAAGGTAATACAGATGGTCCAAATACAGTCTTCAGAATTATTATTTTGTAATAAACATATTGTGCCACAGTGCTATTCCAAATAAGTTACTTTCTGATAATAAGATTTTTCAACATATGTCTCGTTAGAATTGGCTCTGCTGTACCTTCCAGTGGACATAAATTCTGTTCTTCCCCTCAGACCTGAGCTTTTCAGTACAATAACCACTAGTCATATGTGGTTACTTTAATTTAACATAAATTAAATTAAAAATTTAGTTTCTCAGTTGCACTAGTCACATTTCAGATGCTCAAAGGCCACATGTAGTTAGCGGCTACCTTATTGGATGGCACAGATTATCAAACATTTCCTTTATTGCAGAAACTTCTGCTAGACAATACTGCCTTAGCTGAAGTCATGAGTTCTTTCACATCAGAGATTATGGCTAGTCTTTGGTAGGAATAGAGCAATTTTATAGGACAATAACATTTAGTCCTAAAGCATTCAAAGTCCAATTTTCTCATTCCATTTTGCGGTTACAAATTTCTCCAATTTTGATTTAATAGTTACCTAACCATACTTCCTATCTCCCCAACTAAGCTGAAAGCCTCTTAAGAATAGGGACCACTTATAAAAAACCATTGCCTCCCAGATTAGTAAGTACAAAACTTTTTTTTAATGTCTTGAGTTGAATTAAAGTGTAACATAGCCTACCTACTTACTCCAATGCTATGCATCGTGGGCTCTCAGTTGATTACAGCAACCCTTTCAGGAAGGGCACTGATTGCTTAGCAAGGCAAAGGAGGGAGAGTAGGTGCCATGCCTGTGTTCCAGGCAGTTAAACTCCCCTTTGCTCCTCCTGGGAGCCAAGTCACAGGGAAGAAGCTCTAAAACCCCATTCTCACTATTGGAAAGCTGGGCTCTTGTTTAATTTTCCAGCCCAAAAAAAAAAAGTTCTCAGCTTCACCTCACCTGACAATCACTTTTTTAACACGGAAATGTATTCATTCTACAAATGGGTATTAAAAACCTTTTTTATGCCAAGAATTGTGCTTGACAGTGGAGACAGGACAGAATAAGGCAGGAAGATAACAAACAAGCACAAACCAATATTTCACTTAAACCTGTGAAATGCTACAATAGAACAGAACACAGTGGTCTCATAAAGGATTATGAGAGTGAAGGGGCAAACCTTAGATTCAGGTAGCAGGCAAGGCATCTTGAAAGGGAGACATACAGATTGAAGCCAGAGGATGAGAAGAGCTAGCCACACAAAGAGCCAGGTGAAAGAAAAAGCAAACGCAAAGGCATTGAACTACTGAGGATGGTTTGATCAAGGAATTAAGAGGGAACCAGCATGGCCCAACACAGTGCAGAGAAAAGTGAAGGAGGTGAGGAAGGCAGTGACCATATCATGCCATATTATGGCCATATTGCACATGGCCTTAATGGCCATGACAATCAGCTAAGATTTTAAGCGCTTTGAAAAGCCCCTGAAATGTCTAGATCAGGGAATAATATAAAGACTGGATGAGTGAGTGGGTGCGTGAATGAATGAATGAACCTACTTAGTCCTGAGAAGCAAGAGTATTTAAAATGAAAGGAATCATATTCTTCTGTAAGGTGTTTGCTTTCCTTAAATAAATACTGCATTTCCTCTTTATTCAACTCTGCTTTTTCTTTTGGATTAGAGGGGTGATATATTTGACTGGGACTTTGGAAGTGACTTAAAGATATATCTACATTCACTTTTTAAAGAAAGCAACATTAACTGGAAGGCTTCCCTGACCCCTTCAGGCAGAATCAGGTCTTCTCTCCTCTGTGCTCCTGCACTGCTTAGCACATTCCTCTATGGAAGAGTTATCACTTTGAATTACAAGGAAGTATTTTAACAGGCTGTGAGCACGATGAGCACACCTCTGCCACTGCACTTCCTAACTCAGTGCCCAACACACAGTTGGCCCTCGATAGATGCTTTTGAAAGGAGTAAAAAAAAAAAAAGAGAAGAAGATGGAGGTCTTCTTAAGGAAATGCAGACTCAAAACCCAGTTTCTATGCTAATTAGCACTAAAAGAAGATTAATTTACTGTCTCTGTAATCAGCTTCTCTGACCTGATTATATTTTGGAGTCCTGAGCATCTCTGCTAATATTATTATTTATGCAGCATGTAAATTAAGACAACTCTTAGAAAACTGAGAGGTTTGAATTCCTGTTCTATAATACAAGGCTTCTTAATTAATTCGAAGTACCTTTTTGTAAATAATAACCTAAGAAGCACCAGTAGTTTTGTTGAGCAGTTCCCGTTCTGTGTCCTTTATTTACCCAAAATGTGGTATTTGATCCTCCTGTCCATGGAAGGTAGTCAGGACAAGCATTCTTATCCCTATCTCATAAATGAAAACATAGCCCTTCCAAAAGAAAATTTATTTAAAGTTACCCAGCTTGTATGTGGAGGAGCCAATGGTATAAGAACCCGTTTCCTAAAACCCTCTTCTTTCTTGATATCACAATGTTTTCAAGGTGTATCCTGGATCAGCAGCAGCCTCACCTGCGAAACTGTTAGAAATGCAAATTCTAGGCCCCAACCCCAAACTTACTCAATCAAAAACTTGGGGGTGGGGGCTGGAGGAGGAGGGAAGGGAGAACCAGCCATGTCTAACAAGCCCTCCAGGTGATTCTAATGCACACTGAAGCTTGAGAAGCATTGCTCTAGGTGATGTTTTTAAAAAGATTAATAGCAAAAAAAAAAAGATTCAAGCTCTATATATAATTCATTTCATGTAATACAAAATTGCTTAAAATGAAGTTAAAATCGTGCTCAAAATTTTGGATATATTCATGATCAATTCATGATTTATTATTTTGTTAGATTGTCACATTAAACACTGTGCAAGGACATAAAATTTTTGCCTTATGTTATACTATTAAGCATTTTGTCACAATTTTCCAATTACAGTTAAGCTTGAATGAAGTAATTGTGATAAATTCAAAATTGCACTTAATCTGATCCCATAAACATTAATATCAACTTTAGTGCCTATGGCTTGACCATCACACTTATAAGGGAAAAAGAACGTAGCAAAAATTATACTACAGGGTTCATTTCAGGAAGAGATGTTTATTGGTTAAATAGTGAAATAAATGGGGAAGGATAATGCAATTTTCCATACGTATGCCAAATGAAATCTTTGCTGAAGAAATTCATCCAAAAACGAAATTTGGCAGTTTTCCCCTGGAGAAGTCAGCTCAATTTGTTTAGGGTGACAGAGTCCTCGAATGATCCCTGACTTACTGCCTTCAAGCAACTGAGAGCTAATCAAAGGTCTATGAAAGGGTCTTAGAAAGATTCTACTTGCAGCTATAGAAGCAACGTGTGCTATTAACATATAGAGCAGAATAAGCCATTGAAACTGTGTAGGAAAAGGAGCAAATAGTCTTCCAGTGGATTTCAATTATCAAATATTCTTAATTTAGGGGAAACTTGCTTAAAGGTGGTATGCTAATGAACCTAATGCACTCCAGCATTGTTGCACAGCAGCATTTGTGGTCTAAGTTGAGAATTTTGAGTCTTCATTTTGAAACTTTACTACATTTTTTAAAGAAATTCAGATGTGCTACCAAATGAGGAAAAGAGATCAGCGTCAAACCTAGAGCCAACTCACAATATTTTGGAGCTGATGATCCAGGCTAAACATTATGGCCTTTTTACATTTATGCCTTTAAACACTTAGCAACGAAATGACCTCCTTTTTCTGCCTGCCTCTTCTTTCCCCCCACCCCCTTAAATATAAGGAATTTCAACAAGCTGTTAATACTCCTTGATTAACTTTGGCAGATTCTACAGTCTCTAAATCATTTTCATGGTGGCACATTGCATTCTAGGACAGGTTATCAGTTTTGTATCCCAGTGACAGTCTTGTCCTTTTCCACATACATCCTTTTCTCTCTTCCCAAGGAGAATTGATCCTAACAATAAAGTGGAAAAATATTTGAGGAAAGTGGCTAAAAGCTTTGAGTGCTGACAAACACAAAAGTCTGGGCTAAAATAAATACCTGTGATTACTTATAGACTCATCTACAATACAATGTTTAATATGAAGTTAGCCCTCAATTAAAATTGGAATAGGTGAAAAATAATAGTATTTATGTCTTTTATTGATACTTCTGTGTACCAGGCCCATTTCTAAGCAGTTGACCAACATTATTTTATTTAACCTTCACAACAACACTTCATAGACAGGTGGCATCATTTCCATTCTATAGCTGGAAACTGAAACTTAGAAAGAAGCTGTGCATTAATAACGAAAGCAGGACCTGTGGGAGAAACTTCAAACCCAGGTGTTGCTGACTTCAGAGTCTATGCTCCTTTTACTATACCACAATGAATAAAGGACTCCAGTGACAGTTGAGAGAACAGATGTCAAGAGCTCCCTTTCTCATAGCAGGCTGATTTGGAGGAGGCTCATGATTAATAAAATGTCTCCTGCACTGTCCTGGTTAAAGTTATGATGTTGCCAGCACTGGAGTAAACTCCTCCTATGGGTCAAAGCCTTTTTTCTCCTAGATGCTACAGTGCAGACTGTTTACTTGAGATGGGACCTGAAGAACCCAGTTACATCTTCAATTGAGTGCAATAATCACTAAGCTTCCATAAACAAGAGGGGGTGAGGAAAGGTGTGGAAGAGTCCTGAGGAGGATGGCTGGAAGTTTGGGCTGGGGAAAGCAGAGGCCATCAAGAATGCAGGGGATCCCAGAAGAAGCAGAGGTGGTGGGGCAGGGTTACTTTACCTAATTGGACATTTTGCTGTCATTCAGCAATACTAATAATATTTGCAAGAGCAGACTCAAAACTTCCCAAAATACCTAACTTATATAGTACAACTTTCCTGGTAATCAACATGTTTTGAGCATAAAAGGGCAATAATGCATTGGCAGAGTGGTATAAGAGAACACAAAGGATTATCTTTTACATTTTTTGTCTAGATATTTCATATTTTCTAAGTAAAAATCCAATAAAGACTAATCTAGGCTAATTTTAATTAGGGTAACACTATACACATTTTGCTCACATCGGCAGAATAGAAGTTTGCAGAGAAGAAAAAAATGTGCATTCTAAACAAATTGTGGATTTGTTTCAAGTCACAAAATTATTAAATCTCCCTTTGGAATACTATGGTCCTCTAGAAAAAAAATATTTTATGGTACTGAGACATAACTCCAAGAAAAGGGAGTGCCTCGATTATTCCTTTAACAAATGTATATTGAACATTTCTTATATGATAGGCACTGAAATAAATTTAAAAATGAATAAGACCATCCACTTCAACAGTCTATGTGAAGACACACCTACATGAACAATTGCAATATAATTTAACAGAGGTTGTACTAAAGTTTGTGCAGGGCCCTACTGGAACAAGAAGGGAGTTGCTTACTTAGCCTATCTTGGAAAAAAATTCACCAGAGAAAGGACATTTGAGCTGCTATCTATGTGCAAATTTCCAGAGATGAGACAATATGTGGCCTGTCTGGAGAATAGTGTGAAAGTCCATATGCACATAGAAAAAGAGTTTTTTATTTATTTAACATTGTCTAACTAACATTTACTCTTCGAAGCTCTTTACATGCATTGACTTACTTAATCTTCAAAATTTCCAAACCGAATTTTACAGATAAAAAACTAAGGTTTAGATAAGCTAAATAACATGTTCAAGGTCTCACTTGGGCAAAACTAACCCACAAATCCAGATAGCCAGGCTCTAGCACATATGTTCTAACTACTACCCAGCACTGCCCATACTGCTAACACATGAGGATGGAAATGTAAGTTGTGAAAGGCTTCATATATTCTGCAACAGGGTTTGAGCTTGATAGTGTGTGTCCACCAAAGGTTTTAAGGCAGAAAAATAACACCATCATATCGTGGTTACAGAAATGTTACTCTGGTGTCAGAATAAAGAATGGATTGGAGACCAAGGAAACCAAAATCTAGAAGACCTGTTAATAATACTTTGTTTCAAAGGCACAGGTAAGACATGGTGAGGGTTTTAATTGTGATGATGGATCTGCATAGGAAGAAAGAGAATAAGAAAATATTTAGTGGTACTATTAACAGGGTTTTGTGACCCTGGGAACACTAGGTGGAGGGTGAGGGGAAGATCAGTCCAGTTTGACACAATTTCTAGCCTGAGTAACTGGAGAGAGGGTGAGTCCTTTGGTTACACATTAACCGAAGTGGAAATGTGAGAAAAGGGAAAATTGGTTAAGGTGGTTAGTAAGTTCACATGGTAGTATGTTGAGTTTGAGGTAATCCTAGGAATACAGTACTTTAAGGAGAGACGATGCCTAGAGATATGAATGTGCTTGTCATCGTCTTAGATTTAGCTAGAGTCATGGAGTCATGTGAACTTAGTGGTGATGATAAATTTCAAGCAAAGGTGAAAGAAGAGATCACTTAGAAGGAAACCCTTGGTGATTATTTTAATAGCTAAATAATCACTATATTATTTTCAAGTAAGCAACAAAGAAATCTAATATGCACATTCTCAGCCAAAGTCAGTAATTCCAAGATAGAATCTTTTCTAATGTTCTTGTTGTTGCTGCTGTTGTTGCTGTCAGCTCTTTAATTAGGTTCTTCTTCAAGACATTTAAAACACCAATTTGTGAGGATAAATTCCATTCGTCAGAGCAAACACAGATCGCAGGTAGCACTGGAGCTGAGGAATACTTTTGATTTTTGGTAAAATTTGTGAGTCCACAGCTTTCTGATCAATCTTGGGCTGCTCTGCAATCTCATATTTCTCTTTTTCTGTGTCAAAGATCTCACCTTCCTAGTGTCTGGGCTTCCTCAGCTGCTTCTTCTTGAAGTAATCATCAGTAAGATGTTTTGGGATTGCATATACAGAGGTTTGTCACAGACTTCAGGGAAAATCTGAAAGCATTACAAACAACAACAAACAAAACAGGAAACACTTCCATGTTGAAAGTGCTTAGGCATTTTCTACCTTTCTTTTTTTTTTTTTTTTTTTTTGAGACGAAGCCTCGCTCTGTTGCCCAAGCTGGAGTGGAGGGGCGTGATCTCGGCTCACTGCAAGCTCCGCCTCCCGGGTTCATGCCATTCTCCTGCCTCAGCCTCCCCAGCAGCTGGGACTACAGGCGCCTGCCACCAAGCCTAGCTAATTTTTGTATTTTTAGTAGAGACGGGGTTTCACCGTGTTAGCCAGAATGGTCTCGATCTCCTGACCTTGTGATCCACCCGCCTCAGCCTCCCAAAGTGCTGGGATTACAGGCGTGAGCCACCACGCCCGGCCTCTACCTTTCTTTTTCAATGAGAGCAAGTTCAGATCATTTAACAAATGGTATTAGTATGTATTTTTCAAATAAGTGAAAATTGCCCCAATTAAGCAAGCACTGACACTTAACAATTCTCAGCTTGAGACTTGTCTCCACTAATTACACGAGAGAAGAATATTTGTATTACTGATAAATCACTAACTATCATTAAAAGTCATATTTTTCAAACACAAAAATGCTAGGTTTTATTAGAAATACTTTTTCAACAATATAAACATGAATCTACGTGTATGAGAAAAGTATACAGACTTTAACACTATGACAAGATAAGCAAAACTTACACTTTGTATCCAAGTCTCTCTTCCTGTAGTTTACATGAATCCAGAAACAACCAGAGCAGGAATCATCTATGAATCTCACAGCCAGCACTGGCTAATTTGACCCCAAATGCATGGCAGTGGTTTAAAAGGCAGAACCATGGAAATGAGTGACAGCTCCCTGGTTATCTTAATTCTTTCTTTGGCTATTCGTCATTCCACTAGTTAGATTTCAGTGAATATCAAAACTATTGGCAATACAAGTACTACAAGAGATATTATTTTGCACTTAAAATTTTAAATTTAAAAATTTTTTAAACAAAATTTTAAATATTTGACATAGAGGACAGGTATAGCCATATTGCCAATGCCACCAACTCAAAGGGTCAATAGTTTTTGCAGCTATAGCAGGTTGGAATCACTCATGTAAGGTGATCTGATTTATGTGTTTAAAGGACCACGGGCTTCTGTGTGGAGAATGAAGTGAAGGCAAGTCAGAGAATCCAGTAGGAGGCTCTTCTTGTACTGGTACAGAAAAAATGATGGGCTGAACTAAGAGTGGGAGGTGGAAATGAAAAAAGATGGGCAGATTGGTGTGTTTGCTTGTTAGTTAGTTAGTTTGTTTGTTTTTGAGATGAAGTCTCACTCTATCACCCAGGCTGGAGTGCAATGGCACAATCTCAGCTCACTGCAGCCTCCGCCTCCTGGGTTCAAGTGATTCTCCTGCCTCAGCCTCCAGAGTAGCTGGGATTACAGGCATGCGCCACCACGCCAGGCTAATTTTTGTATTTTTAGTAGACACAGAGTTTTGCCATATTGGCCAGGCTAGTCTTGAACTCCTGACCTCACGTGATCTGCCTGCTTCGGCCCCCCCAAAGTGCTGGGATTACAGGCGGGAGCCACCGCACCCAGCCCAGATTGGTGGTATTTTTTATAGTCTACTGTGCATATGTGTTAATTGACTGGATGTGAGAAAGCAGAGCATTGAATGAGGAATAACTGGATAAATGGGATGCTGCTTTCTGAGATGGGGAAGAGTTGTATTAGCAGGTATGGGGAAAAGAGTTCTTTTTTGCCCATGTTAAGTCTGAGATGCTTACTAGACATTCAGGTGGATGTCAATTCTCTCCTATATTAGGTATTGATGATAATGTGTAATTTGGAGAATTGCTGTGTAGCACAGAAATAATGTATTTAACTCACCTAGCAGACTGGCTAGGTTACAACAGATGCTTAAAAGTGGTAACTATGTTTGTTATCATTGGAAATGCACAGAAAGTGGGAAATATTATGCGACTAGTAGATGAGAAAAGTCAGCATTATTGATTTCAATTTTTGGAATCACCTGCATAGCAGAAGTTCAAGTCAATAAACTTTTTGACCACCTACTATACCCCAGGTATTGTGCTAAGTATTAGGAATAGATACAAGAATGACAAAGATGGAATCTTTCCTTTCACAAAACTCGGGGCAAATTACAGAAGAGAATGGAATGCTCAAAGGGCAGAAATTAAAGAAGAGAAAGAAAAGACTGCAACTTGGTGGACACTTTGTCAAACATGCAGGAAGAAAGAGGAGCCAACAGAGTAAGCAAAGACAAACAAGGAAAGACACAACCAGTATCACAAAACCTAGACAAGCTTGGAGATGTTGCCACCAGAGGAGGGGTGTGTTTTAACAATGGTGAGTTGATCAACAGAGTTACCTAGAAAGAAAGTGAAAGATGAGTCAAAGCTAAGAAAATGTCAGATTACAGGCAACTTTCACCATTTGTATGTACAGCGAAGAGATCAGAAACTAGATTGCCTGGGACAAATGGCGAAGCAATTAGTAAGTAGTGTCCTCTGGGGTAAAGAATGTAACATAGCAAAAGTTTGGCAGGGTAAGGACAGAGAGAAATAAGTACAGCTTTCATATAGCAAGACCTAATACTTAAGACTCAAGGACATCAAGGACACAGATGAAAGATTTTCATCCTAACTCTCTACAAGAGAGAATCTAAAAATTGAACAAAGATCACTTTATTTACACCGGTGATATAATTTGCTTATCTATACATATGTACATGCAATTAAGGACCTCTTTTTATCAATTTTCTTCACCTTATAAGGAAATTGGACCAGTGTAGCATAAATTCATGATTGTAATTTCAAAAAGAATATTAAAGAATGTTATATGTTATGTTCCCATACTTGAGCTTTTCTTTCCTAGTAATATATTGCAGTAACGTTTTATTGTAAATTTAAGACAGCCATACAATGCCGGTTCTTTATTCCTTGTTTCAATATTAACCAATGTGTGTCTCTGGACAAATAACAGAGCATTTACAGCTTCTATTTTCTTACTTATAAAAGATGGTTGAAAATCTCCTTCATATTTAAAAAAGAAGAGGGAGTGTAACTGTCTCAGCATCATGTTGCCTTATGTAGAAGAATAAGCATTCCAAGCATTTAAAAATTAAGGAAAGCCCTAATTTGAAAATCAGTAAGCCTGATAATGTCATGTTTTAGATACTGGCATAAAGGTGGACACAGTCAGGTTGGTAGCCAGATTCACTGCTGGGTGACGTCACTATCAGAATAGACAGAAAAAACGACACAAGTCAATGTGCAGGAGAGTACATAGCCATGTTCTCCAAATCACCAAAGGGAAAAATCCAGGTTGATGTTTACACTATTAATTGAGTTATTAGTTTATATAATGAATTGGGTCACAGATTTGATTTAACATGCACAACTGGTTCATAAAGATGTATAAAGATATGTTCATTTTCAACTAAAGATAGGCAGATTACTATTATTTTTAATGATCATATTAAATGTTTTAACAAATAATATTAGCCAATTGGGTGTTTACTCTGTACCAGGCACTATTCTAAACACTTCGCATGTGTTAATTCAATGCTCACAACCATATGAGGTAAGTCATTTAATAACCCCCATCTTTTTTTGTTGTTGTTGTTTGGGTTTTTTTGAGACAGTCTCACTCTGTTGCCCAGGCTAGACTGCAGTGGTGCAATCTCACTGCAACTTCTACCTCTCGGGTTCAAGCGATTCTCATGCCTCAGCCTCCCAAGTAGCTGGGACTACAAGTGCAAACCACCACTCCTGGTTAATTTTTTGTATTTTTAGTAGAGACAGGGCTTCACCTTGTTGGCCAGACTGGTCTCCAACTCCTCACCTCAGGTGATCCACCTGCCTCTGCCTCCCAAATTGCTGGGATTACGGGCATGAGCCACCATGCCTGGCCCACCCCCATCTTATAGATAAGAAAGCTAGACATAGAGAAGTTTAAGTAATTTGCTCAAGTTTATCCAGAAAGTAATTGGCAGCCCTAGAATTTGAACCCAGGCAATTTAGCTCATGATATTTTACCTTAACCATCACCCTATTCTCTCTGCTATAAATATTTATCTGCCCTTTACTATATTATTAGCATTGTACTGTGCACTGGGGCACAATAGTGAACAAGATAGATTGGGTCCCTGCCTCCATGGACTTTGTAAAGTAGTGGAAGATATAGACAAATAAGCAGTTGAAACACAGTATGCTAAGTGCTATAATGGAGGAGAGATAGTGTCCCCTGGGAGCACTTAGTAAGAGCACAAGTCAGATATTTTTGGCGGGAGAGGATACATCAGGAAAGAACCCCTTGATGCAATAAACAAGGGAAAGATGAATAAGTGGTCACCAGGAGAAAGGAAGTTGAAGGTGAAAGGATGAAGAGGAGGAGTGAAAAAGTAAGAATGTCCAAAAAAAAGAGAGAGCACGGAGCCTGAACTGACAAAGCTATTCGTACTTATAGATTTGGAGAAAAAAGAGAAGAGGTGGGAGGTGAAACTGGAGATATGGGCAGAAGCCATATCCCATAGGGATTTATACCATGTTTAAAAGTTTGGTTTCTGTCCTAAATCCAAAAACAATGCCGCTAAATGATGTTAGAAGAGAAAATGATATGGTGTACAAAGACCATTATGGCTGTTGTATGCAGCCTGGATAACAAGAGGACAAGAATAAAGGCAGCAGGACCAGTTAGCAAGTGAGTGCCATTAGGGAAGTAAAGGGTAATAATAGTGGCCTGATGTAAGGGAGTGGCAATGTGGGAAAATGAGAAGGACAAATTTAAAAGGTATTTAGGTAGGAAGCACAGAACCTAGGGATCGTGGTAAGGAGGGGAAGCGGAAAAAGAGCTGTCTGGATTGACTACCATATTTCTGATTTGACAAATGTTGGGTGTTTTCTTTTTTTTTTTCTAGCAGGGCACAGCTTTCTGGTGTAGGAGTGGAGGATCCAAAGAGCTGAATTTAAGCAGGGTTGGGATTCTGCAGGTGTGTGGGACCCTGAAGCATATTGGGGGAAGTTGCTGGAAAGAGAACAATTAAAAGAGTAAAGTATAAAACCTAATTTAAGTAGGGAAGAAAAGAGAGAGAGACGTTAGAAGGTAAGGGGTTCAAGGAATTGGAGGTCCTTATTAGGCTGCAGAAGAGATGACAGTGAGTGAGAAAAGAAAAAATATGGATGTGGTCAGTCAGCAAACTGACATGTTGAAACAGCAGAGTTGGAGCAGTTCAATAGTACCTAATATATAAAGTGATGCCAAAGGGATGGCATGACCTATGATAACACCAGGGTACTAAATAGTGAATAGTAACTAATGTAGAATGGAGAAAAACATCAAAAATAGAAAGGGTATCACCATAAAGTCAATGGGATGTTGAATCAGAGAAGAGGTACACAGTCGAATGAGGAAGAGTATTGGAAACAATGTCTGCCCTTCTCTCCCTTCCTTTACCCTCCTTTTCCCTCCAGCGGAGGAGGTTTGGTGACTTGATTGCTCTCAGCAATATTACAAAAAACTATTTTTACCTGGTATCCAGGCACTGAGAATCAAGAAGACCAAAACCCAGTGTTCATAGCCTATTCTCATGAAACCTGAAGAACCCTCATCCATGCTAACCACATAAGGCTGCAGGCCTGTGAAATGCTGTGGTGTCTGGATAACGTACACCAGAAAAGGGGAGGGGCATAATATTTCCTCCCACACAAAGGTCTTTATCCAATCATTCATTCAAAAATTATTTATTGAGTGCCAATTATGTGCCAGCCATACAGTATGGAGCAGGATAGATGTCATCGCATCTAGTAAGAAGTTCAGACCTTGTCTCCAGGGATTTTTAAAACCACGATTCCAGCCCGCAGAGTAAAAAATCATGTCTGTGTTGGTCGGAGAAAAGACACAAAACTGGCAATGCAACTGAGGAATCAATAAATAAATCTAATCTGTGAGGATTTTTTGTTTAGAAATAAACAAATTACCCACTTCTCACTATCTTTTTGCACTAATACCTTGAAAAAATGTAAATTGGACAGTGTAAACATGCAAAATTGTTGGCATGTAGGAGAGAATTTTTCTACTTTTCTAAAGATTCAAGACTCGTTTTTGAGTCCTAAAAACAAACACATTAAGGACAGAAGAAGAATCATAATACTGTATATGTAACCCAAATAAGTTATAATTTTAAGTAAATAACATCATATATACAATATAATAACCTAATAATTAGATATGAGACCATATTTATTTTAACTCCTTCCCTAATAACAAGTAGAAGATGTCTAACCCACAACAGTCATAGAAATAGCTAGTCCTTTTTTTTCGTTTTCCAAAAAAAATCACCCTGAAAATTGTTTACTAGTAGAATGATTCAAATTTCTCTTCTCCATTGATAGTGGATTTTATTTTAGTAAATTTATAAACATACAGCTTATTAAAATGTTCAGTCTCAGCAAAGCCTACAGAACATCAAAATTTTAATGCCAAATAAATCACAAAAAAGTAAAATCGTTTTTAGTTATACCAGCATAGCTACAGCACTCAGCTTAAAGCTACAGGAAAAGATGGAAAGTGTTCTCTATCTGCCTGCTTATCATCTTATTTACCAAAACCCTGCTTGAACTTATTATTTTACATCAGGCTATCGTCATTTTAGCAGACTAAGACTTGGCCTACATGTTACTGAATAAAGTATATGGCATCTGTGGTCTTCATAGAAATAATAATGAGGAAGAATCTCATATATGTGTATATGTATTTATGATTTACATATATACAGACGTATCACACACTCCGAATAGAATACAGATTTCCTTCAATGACAGCAACAACTCAATGACCCGCCCACTAGCATGGCTAAAATACTAAACCACTAGATAGCTTTATGTGAACTTGAGCTTGATTGTTTCTTAGCTCTGCTTCAGAACCTCATGATCATGTGCATGCAATTTCTACAGAAGCGGAAACGTAGATGCTGTGGGTCAGTGAGCATTCCTTTCCAGGGTGCTTCTGAGATGAAGCCCCACGATTAACACAGGGCCCTTAATGATGGGCGGGGGACTAAGCATTCCAAGATTGGCCTGGATTCCTGCCAGAAGGGAGAGAAAGGGGTCTTTGTATGTGGACATCTGAAGGGCGGGCATAAACATGTTAGTTGATACTTAACACCCAAAACCAGTGCCAAAACCGTTAGCTCCCCTCAATAGCCTACTCTGGTTTCAACTGTCCGCGACAATGGAGCAGCCACCTCAATATACAAAACTTGCTCTTTAAACATCCTCAGAGGAATTCCCAAAATAGCAGCTGTTAGAAGCAAACAGACTCTAATTCATTGACATATGCAGACCTTTTAATGTTTTTCTGGTGACGTTTACATTTTTTTTTGTACCTACGCCATCTATGCATTTTTAATAATTACCTTGTAGATTACGTATGCAATCCCTCCAGGCACTTGAAGAAGGAGCCCCGGGATTCATCATCAGATGAAATTGTTAGTTTTTACGGCAAGAGGCCCAGCTAATTTATGCGGGGAATTTTTCAGACGTTTTTCCTCTGGGCTCCCTTCCCTGCTGTCCTCGCGCCTTTCTTCCTCAGTACATTAAGAGATTCTGATGTGCCTGCAGCAACATCCGCCAGTGGTGGCTGACTGTAGAGATGCCAGCCAGACTTCCCTGCGGAGGAGCCCGGCCATGTGGGCCGCCTCGGCAGAGCGCGCTCCCTCGGAATCCCCTCTGGGATCCCCCTTCCACCAGAGCTGAATCTAATCTCACACCTTCAATAACTTTTGTGGGCTCAGTTTAGTTTCTGGCAGACAGTTATCTGTGTTACATAAATTCCACACGAAAAGTAAGCAACCTCCTATCTCTAGAGAACCATTGGCCAGGCAAGTTGCTGCTGCAGAGGCAGCTCCAGAAACTTCGGCTTATAAGTGGCCATGTGCAGCCAGATAAGAGAATAAAATGTTGTATTTGCAGTGCAAAGGGCTTTGATTCCCCTCTCCCCAGGTTTATTCATGCAAAATATTAACAGCAACTCTACATTAAGAGGCCGTTGGGTGATAGATATATGTGTGTCTGTGTGCGTGTGTGTGTGTGTGTGTGGTGTGTGTGTGTATATACATATATATATATGAGACAATTCGATAGATGACAGATGGTTAGTACATTTTTTAATGAACCAGGATGTAACTCTGAAATGTCAGTTTTCAACAAGCAGCTTGATTGTGGCTACTACAGGACATTAGCATCAATATGGATGCTTATTTAGGAAAGCAAAATCCTTGCAAGCCTCAGCAGCTCTAAATGGAAAATTATTCCTAATAAGGAAATCATTTAATGGGTACGACTACAAAACACTATTAAAAGTGAAACTATTTAATATATTTATAAAATGAAGTCTCTCCAAGAATACATATAATAGTGTTTAAATTTCAATATGATAATACATAACCTGGATATTACTAAGATGTAAAACTTTATTACTCTTAATTACCTTTAATAATTTTTTAATCATCAAACACCATAATTGTTTTACAGAGTGGTATTATTTGGAAGAACTTTTGTTTAATAAACTCCTTTCTTTATTTGTAGTAGAATAATAGTGATACAGTGAGGAATGACAAACTTTTGGTATCACTTAGAATTCTGATAAAGGTGAATGCAGACATTACAAACTTAACAAGTCTTTTGTGTGACCTAATTGCATTAGAATATATTAGCAAGGTTGCATAGTGTAGGTTTTATGTTCCATTAGAAAGGTCATCACCGATTTGGGTTGAATCGTTAAAGATAGGAGACCACATTAGCAGAGTGCTCTTCGAGGGGCTGAAGGATGAATATACTTTGCTTCATTAGCATTATCTCATTGTAACGCAATATTCTAATTCTACAGTAGGAAGAGACAATAGGAGAGCTCCGAATCCCCAGATTCCACATTCCTCTTATTATAAACCTATGGGTAATTGCACCATGCCATTGTTTCTCTAAAACGTAAACCTAATACAGTAAAAGAAGCCAACTTATTTGTTTTTCTGATTATAATCAAAGATATCAGCTCCATGACATGCTAAATCATAGACCTTACCCTCCAAACTGTCCTGTTCTTTTTAGCATTTGAATTGCTGTTTTAAAAGGTCTTATGCTATTTTAAAACAGCACAATTTTAAATTCCAGAGTTATTGAATCAAATACATTACAAGATGTCTATGTATAAATCTTAAATGTTTTTATGGATTTTACAAAAACATAAGCCTCAATAATCTTCAATTGGTGTTACTTATAATTACCCCGGAAGGAAATTTTAGTTGCTATATTTCTATCACTAATGGCAAAGAGACATAAATGTACCTGGTGATTAATCCTGGTAAGAATTTTGTTAGTATCCTTAATATCTACAAAAAGAATAACAAACTATCCTGTCATTTAATCTTCAGATTACATGGGCAGACAGACCCTTGTGTTTGACTCTTTTCTGTTACAAAGAACAAAAATATGCAGATTATCTTACATAATGAGCTTCACTATAAGGTTGCCAAGAGAGTAAGGAAGCACGAAAATCTTGTAAGGAAGCTGAACATCACTTATGCTGCCACTGCAATGTCAAAAGCTTCACAGCAGCTCCAGGGGTCTGCCATTTGTGTGCCTCGGTTTCCCTCTCCTCTGTTTCATGGCTTCTGCTTGTCTGCTTTCAGGGCATCACCTCACTTCAGAGCCACTCTTTTGGTCTCCACCTCTTTTTGCACATTTTCAAGTCAACCACCCTAAGAGCAAAGATAGTCATTGGAGTAATTAATCCTTATCCAGGTTAGAACAACCATAAAGGATGGCGTTCTTCTCAGCCCATCTCAAATGCTGACCTAGAATATGGCCTTTAACTCAGTTACTGACCCCAGGCCCAACTCTGGCTGTGGCCTTAGTAGTAAGGTCACATGACAAAGCAGTAAATGTTTATACAAGGAACTACTTGCTTATAAAGGGACTATGGATATGAGGTGAGCACCCAAAGCATGACGAGCATTCGTAACCTCAATACACAACACAGAATACCTCACCGGAGAATACAGCCTCAAACTGCCTACCATCCACAGGAGAAGAACTGAAAGGACTTGCTAGCTGTCCATTCCTCTAGAGCAACAGTCCCCAACCTTTTTGGCAAGGGTGGGGCAAAGGGAAGAGGGGGACCTGGGGGATGTTTTTGGGATGAAATTCTTCCACCTCAGATCACCAAAGCATTAGTTAGATTCTCGTAAAGAGCGAGCACCTAGATCCCTCCATGTGCAGTTCACAATAAGGTTCCTGCTTCTGTGAGAGTCTAATGCCACCACTGATCTGACAGGAGATCATGCTCAAGTAGTAATGCTCACTTGCCCACTGCTCACCTCCTGCTGTGTGGCCAGTTTCCTAACAGGCCATGAACTAGTACTGATTCGCAGCTCAGGGGTTGGGGACTCCTACTCTAGAGGGACCAAGGTGCATATCAAAAACTCTCATTAGTGCCATATTGTCTTGATTCTTTATGGAACTGCTTATACTGGGATACTTTTTTTGTAGTCTGCCTTTAGCTTTCGTATTAATTGAGAGGAAACAAAAAGCCTTCTTTTTGGAAATCTTTTATTTCATTGCCTATAAGAATATTATTGAGAGCACCATTCAGGCCCTTCTTATATGTATTTCTATGAAGGAAATTTCTTTTAGGGCTATGTGCTCAGAATCGTTTTCTGTGCCCCAGAGAAAGTGTTTGTTTGATCATCTTGAACAGTTACCCAATTCTGCCTTTTCACTCAAGCCACTAGGAAGCTTAAACCTTAATATAGAGCACAACTGTTACAACTGTGCCCTATCTTGTTTCTGATCTTGACTCTTCTTCTAATTCCTATTTTCCTTAAGCCTATTTTTAATATTTTGTATTTTACCATTCTTCTTGTAAATTGAATCCCTTGAGAAAATAGAGTATAATAAATAACATTTTTGAAAGACACAAATGGCAAATAGCCTAAGACACAAGAAAAAACCATGATATTTTATCCTATCATACTAAATTTCTGAGACAGCCGCAAAGATCCCCTGATATCTGTCTGTTCCATTAAACTAAGAATTTAGTTCAAAACCACTGCAGAGGAAGACCTGATCATAAACAACCATTGTAAATATCAGAAGCAATTTTATATCTGAAAAATGTCACAAGTATTCGAACTCTATCTACTTCAAAAGATCAATTTAAATTATCATAACTAGTACCTAATCCTATAAAATGTATAGTCAACACCATTTCTCATGGCAATCTTGCTGAGGAAAATATTATACAGAAATAAAAAAAAAAACAAATTAAAACTGACCACATAGTGTTGATATTAATAGGAAGACATACATTGCCCATCTTTTGTTAATAAAAGGGAAAGAGGAATAATCAGCATGATTAGGAGCCTTTCTTGTTAAAAGCAAACAAAAAAAAGCTTGAAATGTTTCAAAACCCTATTTCTAGTGTTGTTTCTATAGATCAGTAAGCTATAGTGAATAAATAATTTGTAGTTTTAATGGAAGAATGATATGCTATAAGAATAAATGTTTATTACAGTCTCTGCTTCTCCAGTGTCCTGAATAAGGGTTTGTCTGAGACTACCTAATGTTTTATTTTTTTATTTTTTTATCATTATTTTTTTGAGACGGAGTCTCACTGTGTCACCCAGGCTGGACTGCAAGTGGCACAATCTTGGCTCACTGCAACCTCCACCTCCCAGGTTCAAGCAATTTTCCTGCCTCAGCCTCAGAGTAGCTGGGATTACAAGCACCTGCCACCAGGCCTGGCTAAGTTTTTCTATATTTTTAGTAGAGACAGGGTTTCACCAAGTCGGCCAGGCTGCTCTTGAACTCCCGACCTCAGGTGATCCACCTGCCTTGGCCTCCCAAAGTTAATGTTCTATTTAACCCTAAACCACCATTGATCTCCACAAAGAGGTCCCAGTCAAATGCACCCAGAATTATACCAGCTGCAGGTCTAACAAAAAAAACTTTCTCAGATTGCGCTAAACAGTCATTTTTGTGTTACTTTTTCAAATATAGTCCTTTATATCTTACACACACAGACAGACTTCCTGGTATTCTTCTTCCAGACAAACTAAGATAATTTGCTACATCCGTAGATCCAGGTGACATGCTACCTCACAAAATCAAACAAGAATAATAAAAGTAAAAAGAAATTTTCATTTAAGGCAGAAGAATTTTTAAAGTGATAAAAGAGACTCCCAAGTTCTATATCTCTCTCTAGTGAAGATGAAAATCATGTTAAACACCAAATACACTTGTCTAATTACATCAGGAAATACTGTTCTGTATTTGCTAATGAAATGTGATGGTACTGTATTCACTGAGAGCCAAAACAAAGTGAAGATATAACATTCTAATTACAAAAAGGCACTTGGTAAAGTGGTTGTATGCTTTGAACTGTAATAAAAATTAATAAAATTATGTAAATACAAACAGTTACTGAAAATGTGGCACTCTAATTTTAGAAAAGCCACAGAACATAATGACTTAAGAAACTTCAAACCATTTATAACCTCATTCAGTTCACAGAGAAGACTAATGAGAAAATGTTTGTCTAAAAGGCTAATATTTGTTTTAATATATTTACTTCATTGCTCTAAGTATGAAAGCCACCCCATATTCTTTCGGCAGTAAGGGTAAAATCCTAAATAAATGAATATGTAAGCACAAATTTCCCATCCCCAAGCGTTTTGCAATCTTCCAGCTAAGTTGCCACTGATGCATTCATAAATGTCTTAATGGCCTTACTATGTGGAATCCTGTTATAATGCAGGAGCCAGAGGACACTCAGAAACCCCATACTTTATGCTTTCCAGGTTAGAGGAAAAGAGATGCACCACACATCACTATGTACACAGAGAACATGATTGGACCTCCATGATCAAATCCTTGCTATAACCAGGTGCCTTGTAATAGGTTTTTATCATAGCTGGCACTTACTGATTCTCCACAGTAGGCTTTGTTCTGTACTAATTTTCCATCCTGAAATCTCTTTATAGCATTCATGTTGACTCAAGAAATGCAGTGTCTTTAAAATTAAACTTAGGAATATATGTTCTATTAAATTTTCTTATAATTTAAACATGAAACTCATTATTAAAATTCATATAGCATTTCTCTACATATTAATTCTTTAAAATTAATATTTTCATTGACTATGACCAAGATCAGTGAAGGGATAAGCTTTCTAACTTTCATCACTTAACAGTATCTTGTCCAAGAAGTGAATACGCCTCTAAACCAAATAAGCAATTTTAAAACTCTTCAAATGTTGTGTCTCTGAACTGTCTGAATAAATACCATATTCTTTACTAACAGTCTTCAACGATAAATGTACTTATTCTCAATATACTTACTCAAGGAGTTGTAAAGGGACCAGAGATAATTTAAAAGGTCCCTACTTTAGTATGCAGGGAAAAAAAATACTACTTCAAGTCTGAAAATATATAATGGAGAGTATATCTTCCATTTGGGTCTGATTACTTTTTGTAATCTACTGGGAGTTAATATAAGAGCACATATCTTCTGTACTTCTATAGAAGAAGTCTCCCCAAAGGTAGGTATAAGAATTATACCATCTGCAGAGGATGTGAATTTACTCTGGTAAAATTGCTACAAATATACAATGAAAATTATCTGTATAATTTTGTGAATGAAAATTGGAAAGATATTATTTTCAGTCACTCTTAGGATGTGATGATGTAACAGTGAAGGACCTACTTAATCCATAAAAATATATCATTTATTTTGCTTTTAACATGGATCTTTAAAAAGAATACTTCAAATATCTAATATACTGTAACAAAATGGGAATAGTATTTAAAACAGCCGGATTAAACATCTAAATAATAAATATCACATGGCACTGCACATCTGTTCTTTGTAGTGTTTTCTGGTAATGCAGCATAGTGCGGCATTTCAGCAAACCAATTCAAACATAAGGATCGCTACAGAGCAAAAGCTCTTGTCACTGTTTGTGATTGTCTAATGGTATATGGTCCAATCATAAAGGGCAGCTGACAGGCTGGTATAAGAAATGAATTTTCTTCTTCCTCCTGACACATCAGAGTAAGGCCCCCTGCTGTAATGCAGAAAATCTTTTATGCAAAAAGAATACACCGTCTTTCAACACATGATTACTATTCAGAAGATTCTGACTAGGGTTTTTTTTGGTGCATTTTTTAAAATACCCATACAAAATTGCACAAAGAGCAAACCAGGTCTAGGCTTATACATTATCTCTCCTCTTCAGTCATTCTGTGACCTGGTGCAAATTATCTTTTTTCTCAATACCTTCATTTCCCCATCTTTGAAATGGGGATGATAATAATAAAATATGGTTCCTTTCCTAGAATAAAATGAGAATTGATTAATATTTTAGTGTCAAGGAAGCAGTGTTACCTTTTCAAACACTTAAAGAAATAACAATCATACTAAAAGCCCCAAAGTAAATTGAAAATGTTGCATAATGTAACATTTTAAATTTTAAATATTTTAGATATGTTGCCTAAAATGTAAATATTTTCACTCTCCTTGTCACAGACAACTCAAAAAGCAAGCCTAGTGGATAAGTCCATGGAAGAACATGGTGCCTGTAAGAGTGAAAACTAAATATTTATCATCTGTAAACTATGTGTTAAGAACTTTGGTAAATACTTTACATTTATTTTCTCATTTAATCCTCACAACTTCTCTATGAAGTAAGCACTACTGTTAATTTCATTTTATAAATGAGAAACCTGAATCTTAGAAAGTTTTTAAAAATTGTCTCCTAGTTAAAATAGCCATGGGTGGGAGAATGTTTTGAACTTTTTAAGTATTCAGATACTTTTTAAGTATCCAGTAGTCAAGCTAGAGTCCACCCCAGCCTTCACTGTCAACTACTATGCTATGTGATATTTATTCACTTGATGAGGTAGACAGTATTTATGGGGAGGACGAGAAGGTGAAAAAAATATGAGGAGAATTTTGAGCTGGAGAAGACATAAGACACTGGTGCTCACCCAGGACAGACAACTCCGTCCTCTCAATAAAGCACAATTGGAGAGTGACTCCAAGAGGAGAGAGACATTTAGGTGAGCTGAGGGGCAGGTGGGGAAGGTTTGTCAGAGCAGGGAGCAGGCTTCGTGGGCCTCAACTAAATTGGACTGAGACTCATGGAGAAATGGGGAAAAGGATTGGGCAGGCGGAGTTCCCCTGGGAGAGTCAAGTACGATTATGCCAATAACAGAGGCGAGGCAGAGGTTGGGAGGCAGGCTGGAGGCACGCTAGTCACCTGGGAAAGGAACCTCTGAAGGAAAGAGGTACTAATGAATGTGATTTATGTGAGTTCATGTTCATAAGGCTGTATAAATGCAAGTTGTTATTGCTTGAGGAGGCTTAAATTCACCAGAAGGAAAGTGTTACATAAGAGAGACATAGGAATAAGATATTCTGTGCAAATTAACTGAGGCTGCTATTCTGTGGCTAACAACATCCTACCTCCGGCTGAGTATCCTATTACCTAGTCTGAGATGGTCGGGGAATAGATCAGCGGTACTTTCAAGAGGTGGGGAAAGAAATCTCCAAAGCACACCCTGACAGAGACAGAGGTGCTGCTGGAGCTTTTAAGAACAAGAAAGAGCCTCCTCCTCTGGCGAAGGAGTGGGCTAACCAATAGAAATGCTCGAAGGGAGTTTAGGAGTGAAGGGGGCACCCCAGGAGTGCTCCCTGAATGGAGGGAGCATCCACAGAAGATGCTCACAGCACAGGCTTAAATGTGAGTTTGAGGACCTCTAACTTGATTAAAATGTCAACTTTTATCCTCATATCCCAGGGTTGCTTAAACTGAGGTCTGTGGGAATATTCTGAAAAATCTGAGTTTTTAAGTTCAAGAAATGCTGTCAAGTGCACACTACTTGGGTGACGGATTCACTAAAATCCCATAAATCAACACTAAAGAACTTATCCATGTAACCAAAATCTACCTGTACCCCCCAAAATGATTGATATTAAAAAAAAGAACTGCTGTCAAACACCAAAATCCTTCTGAGATTACCTAATTTTTTTTAAAAATGTATGCATCTGGGGGCCGTTTTATGAAAAAGAATAAAAAGCTATGAACAAAAATTATATACCAAAGTGAGTATGTAAGGAGCTTTGAAGGTTAAGCACAGCCTTTGCTCAGGCAGGGACAGAAAACAGAGCAGGCAGTGAGTGTCAGGCCTTCCACTCCACCTCATTATTTGAAAAAGATACTTGCACACACATGTTTATAGCAGCACAATTCACAATAGCAAAATTGTGCAACCAACCCAAAAGCCCATCAATCAATGAGTGGAAAAAGAAACTGTGGTATATATATACAATAGAATACTACTCAACCATAAAAAGGAATAAATTGACAGCATTTGCAGTAACCTGGATGAGATTTGAGACTTATTCTAAGTGAAGTAACTCAGGAATGGAAAACCAAACATCATATGTTCTCACTGATATGTGGGAGCTAAGGTATGAGGACACAAAGGCATCAGAATGATACAATAGACTTTGGGGACTTGAGGGGAAGAGTGGGAGGGGGGTGATGGATAAAAGACACAAATATGGTGCCGTGTATACTGCTCAGGTGATGGGTGCACCAGGATCTCACAAATCTCTACTAAAGAAATTATGTAACCAAATACCACCTGTACCCCAACAACTTATGGAAAAAAATAAATTTACAAAATATAAATAAATAGATTAGATTAATTCACCATGTTGAAAACTGTTAGGATTCTGACTCATTTCTAAGTAATGTCAGTAAAACTGGGATGATATCCCTTAGGAAGAGGTCACTGTTGAGTTAGTTTAATGACTCGTATGTTGTTTGAGGTGATTTTTTTATATATTCAGAGGAAATATGTGTTGAATCTTTTAGGAAGTCTCGTAAAAGCTATTGCATAGGATTCTGAAGACGAATGCTATAAAGTGTAAATTAAACACCAAACTAAAGTTATTATAATAGAAAAGAAACTAGGGACAAATCCCAGTTTCATGGAACCTTGGACATTTACAAGTTGGGATCCTCTTTAAGAAAAATTTTTAAAATTATGAATAAAATGTATATACAAAAGCAAACATTTTCAAATGAAGCTAGTAGACGCCCTGGCAAATAAGGGGTCTTGAAGGTTTAGCATCATTAACTTCACAGTAAATCCACCTCCTGGAAGGAGCTATAAATTATCATGCTCCTTCATCTTCTGAGTCACACAACACGGGGCCTGAGATCCTTTCACGGGAATAAATTAAAGGTTATCTTTCCTCATAATTAGGGCAGAAATAAAGAGAGGTTAGTTGGCATTAAAATGAACATGTCAAAATGATTCCTGTAAGCAACCAAAAATCAGGAATGCAACAATGAGGCAGGACTTAGGGGTAACTCATGAGTAATTCTGCAATTTAAAAAAATTTAATCAGCATCATTTATTAGAAAATAACATAAAGTTAAAAATTCAATTGTTCTGCTCTCGTGTGTGTCTGTGTGTGTGTGTGTGTGTGTGTGTGTGTGTGTGTGTATTATACAATTCTACTCCTAGGTATGAATATGTGTATATATATTGGAACAATTTTGCACTTATCTACCAGGAGACATGTACAAGAACATTCAGAGCAATGTTGTATGTAATAGCAAATAATGATCATTTTTAAAACCTACATAACCACTGCCAGAGTAGAAATAACTGTGATTTATTCACTTGGTGGAATATTAGACAGCATTGAAGAGAGACTGATTATGGGTACAAATGTACAGTTTGATAGAAAAAATAAGACCTACTGTTTGATAGATCAATAGGGTGACTATAGTTTACAATAATCAATTGTGTATTTCAAAATAGCTGGATGAGAGTAATTCGAATGTTTCTAGCATAAAGAAAAAACAAATAAAACAAATATTTACGGCGATGAATATCTCAATCACACTGATTTGACCCTTACAAATTATATGAATGTGAGGCCGGGGTCGGTGGCTCACGCCTATAATCCCAGCACTTTTCGAGGCCGAGGCGGGCGGATCACAAGGTCAGGAGATCGAGACCATCCTGGCGAACACGGTGAAACCCCGTCCTCTACTAAAAATACAAAAAAATTAGCCGGGCATGGTGGTGGGCTCCTGTGGTCCCAGCTACTCTGGAGGCTGAGGCAGGAGAATGGCGTGAACCTGGGAGGCGGAGCTTGCAGTGAGCTGAGATCGCGCCTCTGCACTCCAGCCTGGGCGACAGAGCAAGACTCTGTCTCAAAAAAAAAAAAGTTAGCAATTTGAATACAAATTATATGAATGTATTATCATATGTATTCTGAAATTATGTGCATCTATTATGTATCAACAAAAAAACACCATTTTAAAAAAGAAAATGCACAACCATAGAGATCAATCTTAGACACCACAATATTGAAGAGGAAAAAAAGGCAAGTCACAGAGGACTACATAAAATACTGCATATTCTCACTTCTCAGTGGAAGCTAAACATTGAGTACATATGGACGTAAAGAAGGGAACAACAAACACCGGAGCCTACTGAGGGTGGAGGGTGAGAGAAGGGTGAGGATCGAAAAACTACCTATTGGGTACTATACTTATTACCTCAGTGAAAAAATAATTTGTACACCAAATCCCTGCAGCACACAATTTACCTGTATAGCAAGCCTGCACATGTACCCCAGAACCTAAAATAAGTTTTAAAAAAAAATACATAAAGTATAATGTCTTTTTAATAAAGTTTAAATACAAGAAATACAAAACAATATATTCTGCAGAGACACATGTGTGGTGAAACCAATTTTTGAAGCAAGGAAAAGATTAATGCAAAATTCAATTTAGGAGTGACCTTTCAGAAAAGTGGATTTGGGCAGGAAATACACAAGTAGACACAAGGATACTGGCAATGTTCTACATTGAAGTAAGAAGACTGATTCAAGACTGTAGTTTTCATTACTAAGCTCAACGCCTTAGTTCTATTACATATATTGTCTGTACTTATCAAATAGTATATGTAACTATTTTAACCAATGAAAGTAAGGTTTAAATAGAGTATTTTAATTGTGTCTCATCATATTTTTGGTCACCTACACTACTTCATCTCTCAAACCTTGTTTGGGGGGAAAAATAAAACCAATATTCTGTTCAAACTATAATGCAATGGCTTTCAAATGATTTGACCACCAAACAAGCAGATGTGACGTTATTTATGCAATATATATATATATATATATATATATATAGAGAGAGAGAGAGAGAGAGAGAGAGAGCATATATTGGTATCTTTCAATTATTTAAAATTGTCTTTAATATCCACCTGTAGCAAAAGTTCTCCACATCATCACCAATGTAATTCTTCTAACACAAAACAACAGATGTCAACATGGCTCAGTTTAAACCTGTGCCAGGGCTTTTCATTGCCATGGAACGGATTCCCATCCTGACACTGCACATAGAATCATCCGTGACCAGGTCCTTCCTACCTCTCCCATCCCTTTTCTGATGTTTAGCTTGGCCTAGACAGAGGTCCTTGTAGCTGAGGCATTCTCTGGCTCTAGCTAATGAGATATGTATTTTTTTCCTTTTTTGCAAAGAACAAAAAAAGTATATGTATGAGTGTGTGTGTGTGTGTGTGTGTGTGTGTGTGTGTGTGTGTGTATTCTTCAGTTACCCTTGCCTTCTGTTGGCTTTAAGGACTAGCTTAATGCTCACTAATATTTCCCAGGCACTTCAAGTAGTTTGTTCTTTTTCATCCTTCAAGTATCAACTTAAATAGACCACCTCAGACTAACTGGACTAAATTAGATGGTCCTCATTTATTCTCCATCAGAGCACCCCATTTATTGCCTTTGCTGCATTTTGTAGTTTTTTTCTTTCTCTGTGTATGTGATGGTTGCTTGTTTCAGGTATGGGTGTGTACATTTCATATGGCAGGAGTCTTGTCTACCTTCTCCAATGATGTAAATTAGCATGCAGCATACTACATGGGACATGGTAAGTTTTTAACAAATATTGGCTAAATGTATGAATCCTTGGCTGTGTCCCCTTTCCTTTCGCTTCCCAAACCCTAATCTTGAGTCATTCTGAATCATTTGGCAAAACCCCCCAAACACCTAGTTTTGGTTCAAGCCTTGGTGCTGGCTCGGCCTTCTGCCTAATGAATGCCTAAATAGGTGTTGTGTTGTCTTTCAAGGCTCACTTCCAGCACCACCCCTGTTGTGAGGTAAGAATTACTGATTCTCCCCAAGGTAGGACCTGACAGTCTCCTCTAGGATCCTCATGATCACCACCATATATTTCAATCAGCTGACCTACCTATTCACACCTTATTTCAATTTCAGTTTTTGTTTAAATGTTATGCTGGTTATTTAGATTTTTTTCTCTACCCTTCTCAACTCTTCTCTGTGATGATGCGGCTGGGACTGAGGCAACTACATTTCCCAGATGCCTTCACCACTGCCTCCATGTTAGATTCTGTCAATAAGGGGACTAGGAGACAGGAAGGCAGGGGAGAGAGATGCCACTTGATCCTTTCCACTTGCTTGCAGTTCCTTCCCAGAGCAGCAGCTGATTCCATCTTCTCTTGGTGATCGCAGCCTCGTCATGAGCTTCATAGATATGAATGGCAGTTTTACAGGGCCCTTCTTTGAGCTTCTGGGGTCTGGTAACCCTAATCTCCTCCCTTGCGTTCCCTCACTTTTCAGGTGATAGGTGTTTTCTATAGTTATTAATACGTTCTCTCTGGGCTACCTCAGTCTCTCCTCTGTGATTTTCCAGGCTTCTAACACCTGTGCAATCAGTTCCTGATATTAAATTCTCTTTAAGATACCCAGAGTAACCTCCCCAGAACCTCTACCAAAAAAAAAAAAAAGAAAGAAAAAGAAAAAAAGATATCCAGTATAATATTTGATTTCCTACTGGACCTCATAGATATATCTACTTCCTACTCATAAGGATGGGAGTGCTCCTTGAAGATAAAGTACATTTCTGATTTATTTTTGTGTCAAGTCCTGGGGACAGAATATAGACTAAAGTAAATACTCTAAGTAAGTGTTGAATAAATGAGAGTAAGTGTTGAATAAATGAGTTAACGATTGATCCAGATAGTAGAGTATGAGGAACTCAGCCAAAGCAATGACAATGAAGATGGGAGGGAATTTGTGACTATAAAGTTAATGAGAAGCCAATTGTCATTTCAAATCCAAAAAATAAGTAGGAGATTGGGAATGGTCTGGTTTTCATTTAAAAAAAAATGTTACTTTCTCATTACTATTTGCAAATAACATGGCAGTGAAAATCTGTGTCACAAAATGTTTGTTCTCCAAGCTTCGACAATGATGTAATGCAGCCAAATTTCATTAAAAAACTCTGACTGTGTCCTGGAGTTTGTGGGGAT
The DNA here is from genome assembly GCF_000001405.40 of Homo sapiens. Lineage (NCBI taxonomy): Eukaryota > Metazoa > Chordata > Mammalia > Primates > Hominidae > Homo > Homo sapiens. The sequence continues at coordinate 98,801,989 of NC_000006.12, forward strand.
AAAATTTGAACTACGACAGTGGAAAGAAAAGAAAACAATCTCTAGAGAAAGGAACCAATAGAAAATTGGTAAATTTTGCTTTGACTTTTACCCCGATAGAGAAAGAGACATGCAAAAAATACAAATTATTAAAGGGTTCAAAATCATTTTCACAATTCATTGAACTACGAATCCACAGTTGATTATCAGAAGTTATTTGGGAAGGCTTAGCATCCATCCCTCATCTTTTAGTTACACTAGCCAAAGGGCTCCCTGTGAAATTCCGTCAGCCAAACTCACAGCTTATTGCTCTGTTTCTCGGGCCACAGAGTAAATCTATTTTCTATTTGCGGATTAGCTGGTAGTGACTCTACACATTCTACACTCTTGTCCCTGTCACCCCTATTCCTGTCCCTGTCCATTCTCTGTATTGAATATGGAAGGTAAAAAGCAAATATGTCTCCTCCAGATAAATTGTCATGAGGTCTGAGAAAACAATAGAAAATAAAAGATAATACAACAACATATTTTTACAAGTTTGTAAAGCATCTAGTGTATTTCCTGTTACACAGCAGATGATTAATAAATGGCAGTTGATGTGGTTAGTCCTGCCACTGTGTTTGCTGCTGCTACAGCCTAGGTCATTTGCAAGTAACACTATTGTAATGGGAGACTATGAAAGAAATAGAGCATATGGCTCCAGTCCTTGATAAGCTCAAAGGATAATACAGCCACCACATCAAACAGGGAGATGAACTGCAATAAAGAGCAAGACAATGCAATTATAACTCTTGGTTACTTCAAACATAGCACGTTACACAGAGCACAAGGTAAATGCATAGCAAATTCAAACTACAAATGTCAACCAGAGCTGAGGAAGGTATTGAAGAAACTCTCTCTCCTTTAAACAAAACTCAAAGCCTAAAAGAGAATGGTCATCTCCTACCATGGCTGACTTTGATCTCAGCTTTACTTGTTCTGTCATCCTGTTCTACAACTGTCCTGAGTGGAGAGTATGATAGTGGGAGTGAGAGATCTTTTCACGCCAGGATGCGTGTGTGTGCACATATGCGTATGTGTCCAGTGAAACCACTCTCAAGTACATCAGTGCTTCAGCAGCTTATTTTCTTGTTCAAAATCTCTCTTCATGTGAGGGGTGCCATTTTAAAACTCTCTACAAAGGAACTACCAGTTACACACATTCAGGCCTTCTGCTAAATGCTAAGAGTGATTCTCAAGAACTCAAAAACCCAGAGAAACTTTTTGTTTTAAGAGATGTAATTCCTTCCCCCATGACTGACAATTGACAATAGGCAGATAAAACTTCACCCCCTTAGACCAAACAACCTAAAAATGCATTAGCCATTTAACTGAGCTGTACAAGAATTACATTCAAATAGAAACAATAGAATCCTTCTACCTTAGACATATAACAAAAATAAAACAATTTTAGGTATAGCCAAAATCTTTGGTCACTCTCTCATCTGCCAAAGTGCCATCTTTAGATGTTTGCCAACTGATCATATAAATTAAGATTCATGTGGCACTGTGGAAGACAGTTTGATAGAAAAGATGAAACATGCTAGGTTTTTTCTGACAATGTCCTTTATTCTTTCCTGAGCATAGCCATTCAATCATTAAAAAATATTGAGTTACTTTGCACTAGGCACTATTCTAGGGTCTTGGAATGCATCAGTGAACCAAACAGACAAAAATCTCAGCTTTCAGACCTTCTATACCAGTGTGGAGAGACTGATAATAAATAATAAACATAATAAATAAGTAAATTAGACAGTAGGTTAGAAGGAAATGAATGCTACCATATACAATAGAGTAAGCAGAGTTAGGGAATGAGGAGGGAGGGTTTCAAATAGACCTCGTTAAGAGGTTAACATTTAATAGATATCTGAGTGAGGTGAAAGAGTTAACTATGAGGATATCTGGGAGTAAAGTGCTCCAGGCAGAGCAAATAGTCAGTGTAAAGCCCTAAAGAGGTTAGCATCAGGGTGCATTGGAGGAACAAAACTGAGGCCAGTGATCAGAGCAGAGTGAACAAAGGGAAGAGTAGAAGAGGATGGCAGAGGAGAAATGGGGGACGAGATTATTCTGGGTTTTATGGGCCATTGTAAGGATATCAGATTTTACAAAGAAGAGAGAATCAGGGGGTTGGGGAGGAGGCGTGTGGAAGAGAAGAGGACATGATTTGACATTAAAGGGGTAAAGCATATTACTGAGGGGCAAGGGCAAAAGCAGGGAATCCATATAAAAGATCATTGCAGTGACTGGGGAAAGGATAGTGGCTCAAACCACGTGGTTGGAATGAAGGTGATAAGATGCCGTATTCTGGGTATATTTTGAAGAAGGAAGGAACAAGACATACAATAAGATTAGGCATGTGAAAGAAGATTCAAGGATGATACGAAGGCTCTTAGCCTAAGCAACTGAAAAGGTGAACTTACCATCAAGTGAAATGAGGTTACCTACACATGCTTGGGAGGAAGCTCACAGCATTTGTAGAACTCCAAGGAGAAAAAAAATGAAAAGAGGAGGGATCCTCATGAGAAAAGAAAGAAAACTGTCCCTGTCTATTCTTCTCACTCAAATCAGCTGTATAGCCAGAATTCATTCCGTGTTTTTGTGCTTGCTTTGATGCAAACTCTTCTCGCTCTCCCTCTCTCTCCCTATCTCTGTCTCTTTCAGCCTTGAAAAGAGAGCATTTTAATGGAAAGATATACATAGAGCAACATGCTATATCTACAGTTTTAAAAACTGTTATTAAAGAATTACATTGCTGAGTGAGATCAGGACAAAGTTCAGTCTTTATAATATTTTTATTTTAGACTCACATAAAGGAATGAATACGCTATTTCTCTTCCAGGTGATTTGTCTCTCTTAATGGCACTTTGTCTGATTTTAATATAATTACTCCAAGTTTTGTTTAATTAGCATTGTATATCTTTTCCCATCCTTTCACTTGTAATGTGTGTGTATATATATATATATAAAAAAATATATATATAAAATATATATATATTTTTAATTTCCATAGGTTATTGGAGAACAGGTGGTGTTGGTTACATGAGTAAGTTCTTTAGTGGTGATTTGTGAGATTTTTGTACACTCATCACCTGAGCAGTATACACTGCATCCTGTTTGTAGTCTATTATCCCTCATCCACTTTCCTTCCTTTCCCCGTGGGTCCTCAAAGTCCATTGCATCATTTTTATGCCTTTGCATTCTCATATCTTAGCTCCCACTTATGAGTGAGAACATGAGGTTTGGTTTTCCATTCCTGAGTTACTTCAGTTAGAATAACAGTCTTCAATCTCATCCAGGTTGCTCCAAATGCCATTAATTCATTCCTTTTTATGACTGAGTAGTATTTCATCACATGTATAGAGAGAGGGAGACACCATAGCTTCTTTATCCACTCGTTGATTGATGGGCATTTGGGTTGGTTCCATGTTTTTGCAATTGCAAATGGTGCTGCTATAAACATGAATATGCAAGTATCTTTTTTGCATAATGACTTCTTTTCCTCTGAGTAGATACCCAGTAGTAGGATTGCTGGATCAAACGGTAGTTATATTTCTAGCTCTTTAAGGAATCTCCACACTGTTTTCCACAGTGGTTGCACTAGTTTCCATTCCCACCAGCAGTGTAGAAGTGTTTCCTGTTCACTGCATCCACATCAACATCTACTATTTTTTTTTATTATGGCCATTATTGCAGGAGTAAGGTGGTATCACACTGTGGTTTTGATTTGCATTTCCCTGATCATTAGTTTCACTTGTAATGTATTTTTGACTTTATACTTTGTGTTTCTTCTATACAAGTAGGGTCTTGCTTTATCTAATCTGACAATATCTGCTTTTTAAATTGAATATTGAGATCATTTATATTTAGTGTAATAAGAAATATTTGGTTTAAGTCTACCATTTGCTATTTGCTTGCTGTTTGTCCCATCTGTTTTTTGTTCCCATTTTCCTCATTGTCCAATTGCCTTTGGATTAATTGGGTAGTTTTCATGATTTCCTCTATCTCTTTTGTTGATTTGCTAGATAAGGCCTTTTGCTCTGTTGTTTAGTGATTGCATTACGGTTTGTACTGTAACTTATCACAGTATACCTTTGAATAACATTTATACCACTTCATGGAGAATATAAAAACCTTATAACAACATGCTTTTATTTCTCTTTTCCCTGCCCTTTTTTCTATTATTCTTAGATGTTTTACTTCTGCTTATGTCATAAACCACAAAACACATTATTATTTTGCCTTAAATGGTTAATTATCTCTTAAAGAGATTGAAATATATTTGTCTACATAGTTACTGATCCTGTAGCATTTATTTTTTTCTATAAATCCAGATTTTCATCTATTATCACCTTCCTTCTGCCTGAAAGACTTCCATGAATATTTCTTACAGTATAATTCTACTAGGAATAAATGCTTCCAGGCCTCACATATCTGATTTCCTGATCTTGCCATTGTTTTTTAAAAATATTTTCTCTGAGTATAGAATTCAGATAGACTCCCAAAATCCACTTGGATCCTCCTGCCCTGTGCAGTGGCCTTGAAACTCTCTCTGGGCAGTCAGCTGAGGCTGAGTCATAGAACCCACCTCTTTAGTTTCCCATCTCTCAGCAATCATTGTCCTTCATTGCCTGATGTCAATGTCTTGAAAATTCTTCTTTCATTTTTCCCCCAGTTTTATAGGTTGTTTTTTTGTTTGTTTGTTTGTTTTTGTTTTTGTTTTTGTTTTTTGAGATGGAGTCTCGCTCTGTCGCCCAGGCTGGAGGGAGTGTGATGGCGCAATCTCTGCTCACTGCAGCCTCCACCTCCCAGGTTCAAGCAATTCTCCTGCCTCAGCCTCCTGAGTAGCTGGGATTATAGGCGCGCGCCACCACGCCTGGCTGCTTTTTGTATTTTTAGGACAGACAGGGTTTCACCATGTTGTTCATGCTGGTCTTGAACTCCTGACCTCGTCGTCTGCCTGCCTCAGCCTCCCAAAATGTTAGAATTACAGGCATGAGCCACCACGCCTGGCCCATTTTAGTTATTTAAAGTAGAAAGGTAAACCTGGTCTTTCTAAATCAGGTTTTTTAAGACATAGAAAAAATAAGCAAATTTCATTCAAAATAACCCACAGTTATTTTCAGTTGGTGGCTAGTTAAGGAATGGCTTAAGGAAGAGAAATATAAATTAGGAATCGTGTTAATTCTTCAACTAAGGAAAACCACTGCTCATCTCCAGTTTCGCTAATTAACTATAGTGGTTTCTACCATTTCTGTTCAAAATCAAGTTGAACATACAGTCAAAAAGGAGGAGAAATTGGAGGAGGAGGAGTGGGAATATATTTTTAAAATATAAAATAAAAAGTCCAAAACTAAGTTCCTGTCATATAATTCTTATTATATATTTCCCAGCAAAACCATAAAATTCTGTATTTGTACTGCTCTGGGTAAAATTGCTTGCTTCAAATCTAGGCCCTCATTGAATCATCCAATTCTAAATTTTAAAAGACATGACAGCCAGGTGAGGTGTCATGCACCTGTAATCCCAGCTACTAAGGAGGCTGAGGCAAGGATTGCTGGAACCCAGCCTGGGCAACATAGCAAGACTGTCTCTAAAAAGTTTTTTTAAATAAATAGAAGACATGACATATAATCTTTCCATATCATTTAGGATGATGTAATTTAAAGAAAATTTTGATGCAAAAGTGACAGCAAACTTTACACACTAGCCAATAACAAGAATTATAGAACCCAGCTAAATATACTGGCACATTTTTGATGCAGTGATTTCAAATTTGCTTGACTATTAATATTATTTTCTCATAAATAAACATTTTTCTTTAGGAAGTTACAGTGTTTCCCAAATCTTTTTAATTTATTCTCAGTAAAACAAAAAGTGATCTATACCCAGACTAAAACTAGGAATGAAAGGTAGTATGCATCCCTTGACTTCGTGAAAAATATCATCAAATAATCGTATTTCTTAAGGAATAATAAAACAATACTATATACACTTATGGAGAAGAAGAATCCTAGCTATTAAATGTCTTTTAAATCCTTTTTCCCAAGAAATGTGAGCTTTAATAACAGAGCTTTCAGATGTGGTAGAAAACATATGATTCCAATTTAGAAATGCAAAACTAAATTTATGAAATAACCTCGGGAGTAAATAATCTTTCTTCAGCAGAGATTCATCCTACAACTCTGTTGTACAGAAAGGACATCAACTTCACCTCACAAAGTCCATCAATCAGCTTTGAAATGCAAATTTTGAGAGATAGCAGAGAGATCACATCACCTGTGGAAGATATCTGATCAATGCTATGAAATTTTTAATAAAAGCAGAAGTTTTTAATATATAAACATTCTTAAAGAACGTCTCTTTAATTAATATGTATATATATACACACATATATTAAATTCAAGGACAGCAGAATTGCTAGGGATAATGGAGAACACAATCCAATAGTCTTAATAACCATTGTATTTCAAAATTCTTGTTAGTAAATTTCAGACTCTTTCCTTAAGATATTTTCTACATAGCAAACGTGGAAGGGTCATAAAGGATGTTCATTGATGTAAAATTAAGCTTAAAGATACTTTGGCCTCAATTATCTAGATATTTTGAGCAAATGCCAGATGGTTTCCTCATTTTTCACTTCCTTTGCAAGAAACAAACAGCCTATGTCTTCTCTCAGGAAAAACTTTGCTCCCATTATATCACTGACAAATTTCAAAAGTATAAAATGACTTAGAGATGAATCATCTCTAAGAGACCGGAGATTTGAATAGTTTCCCTTAAAGATGGACATCTTAGTGGTTTCCAAAAAAATATATGTATATTCTGGCACTTTGAAACCCAGGCTAGCAGTTTGTGACCCTTCTCAAGCAGAACTTTTGTGTCTGTACTAGTCTAGCCCTGCGACACTTCTGTAAGTTCCTCAGCATTGTGTATGCCCCGCATTGTCATCTAGCATAGCCCTAAGATTTTGCTCCTACCTTCCAACTTCTTTGAAATGCTCAGGCTCCCATGGGCAGGCTGGCCCTGACTCACTTTGGCTGCACTTCCTCAGCCCATTCTCATAGCAGGGTTTCTATGATAATAGCAGAAAATAAGGAAGAAAAAAGAGCATCCAAGGCACACGCTCTGGTTGGGTTTACCTGTCACTAAGATCATTCTCTGAAATATGAAAAATTTAATCAGTGTATATTTATTTAGCTAACATATCACATAAAACATTTAATTTGACTATATTTTAATTATGACATTTGCTAATTTGACTAAACTAAAAAAATCAAATGGCTAGGATCAAATGACAAATGATCCTAATAGCCACTTACTTTCAGGAATAAAAAAACTAAAAAAAAAAAAAAAAAATTTATGAAAATGACAACTCCAGGCTGATATCCTCCAAGTTTTAAGGGATTCATAAGAGATAATTCCCTACATTTTATCATAGATTTTTTAATAATTTGTATTGTTTAATGTTATATTACGATATCGATTATCTTGATTACTGAATTTCTTGGTTCCCCTGTTAAATTTTGTACCCAAGGCAAGTGCCTCACTCTCTTTTTCTTGAATCTGAATTTGGTTTCCAGGGCACCATTTCTCCTTTCTTCTCCAATCTCACTGTTTACTCCTTCTCAGTCTCCTTTGCTAGTTCCTCACCTCCTCCAGCCTCTAAATATTCAGATCTCAGCTCTAGGGCATCTTCTCCATCTATACTCATCCTCTAGATGATCTCATCCAGGCCATGGTTTTAAATATCACACATGCCCTGACGACTCTCTAGTTTTTATCTCCAGCTCAAACCACTCCCCTGAACTGCCTGCTTGGCATAGCCATTTTAAAATTTAACATGACCAAAATGCACTCCTGATTTTAGCCCTTAAACTTTCTTCCCCTACAGTTTCCACATCTCAATAAGGAGCAATTCCATCCTTGCAGTTGCTCAGGCTAAAAACTTTGGAGTTATACCTATATACCTGCTAACTCTTATTTTACATATGATCCATCAGCAATTCCCATTGACTCTCACTTCAAAATACATGCAGAATTCGACCACTTGTCACCACCATTCTAGCCCAAGTCACCATCACTTCTTGCTCAGACTATTATAGTAATCTGCAACTGATTTATTCGCTTCTTTCTTTTGTTTCTCTATAGTTTATTTTTAACAAAGCAGCCAGAGTGATCATTTTTAAATGAAAATCTGATTATGGGTTTTTTGCTCAAAACCCTCCAATATAACCCCATTCCACACAGAATAAAATCCAAAATCTTTACAATAGCCTACAACACTCGTTCTCAAACTTTCTAGAGGCTTATTAAAACAGATTTCTAGACTCCACCCAGATGCTCTGATTAAAGAAAGCCTGGATGGGGCCCAACATTTGCATTTCTAACAAGTTTCCAGGTTGTGTTGATGCTGTGGGTCTGGGGACCACACTCTGAGAACCACTGGCCTACAATGCCCTGTATGATCTGGCTCCTGTTACTTCTTTGAGCTCATCCTCTGTTACTTCTCTTCTTCCTCTCTGCTCCAATCACACTGTCCTTCTTAGCCTCCAAGCAACCTTCTACTTCAGGATCTTCATATTTTTCCCTTTATCTGGAGCATTCTACCCTTAGATATTCTCATGACCACTCCCTTCTTCAGGTCTCCAATTAAATACTCTTTTAATAAGACCTTCCCTGAGCACATCATATAAAATACCAAACTCACTACACCTCTACTTTACATTGCTTTATTTTTCTTCATAGAACTTATAACCATCTGTTCTTTATACATTTATTTGGTTGTTTGTTTATTGTCCGTTCCCACTGACTTTAAATTCCATGCGGACAAAGACTTTCCATACTTAATTCAGGGTTAACTATAGAGCTTAAAATGATGCCTGGCACATAGGTGCTCAATAAGTATTTGTGAAGGAAAGAATGGATGGATGGATGAATGGATGGCTGATGGGGAAAATTGGGCATGCACTCCAGACCACTCCCCTTTCTGTTTCCAGGCTCTTTGGGGAAAGGGAATAATCCAATTTATCATGCTAACCTAAGCAAGTTACTTATACACTGCACCCACAGCTTGTAAGCTTTAATTGTAAAAATCATCTTAATTTGTTTTTAAAAAGAAAAAACAAAATTGACAATAACTCAATGACCAGTACAAGGAGGCTTCCAGAGGCCCTTGCTGTTTTACCCACAGTCCTGACCTGATGTGCATAGAGGCCCACTTAGGGTGGCTAAAAATAAAGTCCATCTCCTCTGTTGCCACCTGCTTCCTATAGCTGTAAGTCCCATCTGTTCCCATAGAGAATCATCTCTGAGCTTGATTTTCGTGAACTATTTTTTTCTCTCTCACTCTCTCTCCATCACTTTCTTTATTCTTCACAGGGAGTCATTCGTTTTTGTCCAACAAGCAACCACCCTTCCTCCTTACCAGAAGTGGTCCCAATTTAACTCAACTGTCCATCTTCCCTATATGATTCAAGGTAAATCCTGATTAAGAATACAATTAGGATGATCCTGTTTTCTTTGCTACCAACTGGTTTAGGCATGAACATATCACTCAGTTCCAATCTATAGACATAGTCTGCTGGAGACTTCAGAAAAAGTTAATATCCAAATAAAGAGACATATGGGATGAATGACCCTTCTCCTACTATTGGACATTATAGTATCTGCATGCTATTCCTGGGACCCTAGCAGCCATTTTTGTAACCCTGAGGAAAACCAGCCAAGGACAAAACAAGAGATAGCGGAGAAAAACACAATGGGATGAACCTGAGTTCTGAATGAGTCCATGAGCCAACAAATTAACAATGCTGGAGCTACCTTATCTCAGAATTTCTTGGTATATAGGATAACAGGACATTTTTATTGTTAATACAGTGGGTTTGGCGTGGGGAATCATTATTTGAATCTTTTCTGCTACAGACAGCCATACACAATAGTAACATAACAATACAACATCCCAATACAAACACATAATTTGCATATAAGACAAGTTCTATATCACATATATAACCTTATATTTTGGAATAGCCCTTTCCAACCTCCATAAACTGCTTCCTCAGAATCAAATGCCCAGAGTGGGGTATTTCATGCTGAGTTACCCATGTTAAATTTTATGCAGGGCCCAGTCTCTTTGAGATACCAAAAAAAGAAAGACACCTGCTTCTTTGGTGTGGCCCAGAAAGAAGCTGGTTTACATATATAAATCCATGGATAGAAATAACTAAAGTTCGTATTATACGTAATGACCAAAAGCCGTAACTATTTCTTATTACTCTTATAAAATGAGATCTACAAGAGAAAATTTGTCTTGAACTTTATAGGACCTTTTCATACAATGAGCTCAATAGAACCTCAATAGAAAATCATGGATAAAAATGAAACAGCTACAAGACATTAAAAGAACCCCTACAGATACACATAATGTGAATCATTGTGGTATTTTTAAGTTCCAGACATTCTGAAATCTCTGAATCAAAGGCATTCTAATATATTATAACTATTAAATATCTCAATGACGCTTGTAAATGTTTATTCTCCCATGAAGTATTTGCATCACTGAGGTTTTTTTTTCTTTTTAAAATTCACTTTTAGAAGTTGAATCCCACCTAAAATTTCTTGTTTTAACTAGATTGCTACTGAAATCTAGTTAAAATAATAAAATTCTGCTTTATTTCAAACTTCTTTTTGTCAGCTGCAGCTCCAGCCTTGTTTTGGCAAGGGCTAGGGTTTCTTCTAGAGTTTGGCTAATAATCCTTACTCAGGAAACCTCCAGATGGACATCGCAGAGATGCTGCTTCAGTTTTTTCTTTTCAATTTGGACATGCCATGCACAGCCTCACTGATGTATAAAACATCAGTACAAAATGTAGAAAAGTTCTTCTGCTTTTTGCCTGCGTATACCCTTTTTATGATGAGCTGAGATGTTTTTCCACAGTCAAAAGTTTTCCTAAAGAAAAACTATAAAAAATAAAAACTAAAATAGAATAATTTAAAGAGAAACTTTGCATTCAGATATTTACAGTTTCCTGCTTAAAAAGTAAGAGGATGCTGTGAAGTCTCTGAAAAAGCAAAAAAAGCCTAAAACTAGAATGGCGGTTTTGAAAAGGCCTGAGAGACGTCCAAATTACATAGTGGTATATACTTCAAGGCTTAATCATTGTGGGTCAGATTATCAAAGAGGCCTCTACCCTAAATTCCCAAATTATATTTACTATTATCATATTTTCATGAGAATAATAAACATTGCCCAGTTGTGTTAGATGGACATTCTAATAGACACAGGAATAATGATATAAAAATATAGCCTATGCAGAATTTCCTTATATGAGAAATATCTAGCTCAGTAAATATTTTGAGAACATGGAATCATAAAAGTATTTTTTTTATTTATTGCTGTTATAGTTCTTCACATGCAAATATTTAGAAAGTCATGTGAGTAGTTTTCTATATTTAAAGATACAAGAACACCGAATTTCCTTATAAAATAATTAAATAGTCTTGGTTTTTATTTTTTCTTTTTTGTTCTTTTGGGAGGCATAGTGCAGTGGCTTAGATAAGTCAAGTCTGACTAATCTAGGTTTATATCATGGCTCCATCACCTACTCAATCTGTGCTGTTGGGAAAATCTGTTGAAATTTGAGATCCTCAGGTTCTTCATCTGTAAAATGGGAAGAAGGACCGTAGCTCCCCATACTCTCCTCTATCCGTAAGGCTTTTCACACTGGATTATAATCATCTGGCTACTTGTCTGTTCCTCCTATGAGTTTATGAGTTTCCTGGAGAAAGAAAGAGTCTTGATCTCTTTAAAGCAGTTCTCGGCCAGGCACAGTGGCTCACGCCTGTAATCCCAGTACTTTGGGAGGTGGAGGCAGGTGGATCACAAGGTCAGGGGTTCGAGACCATCCTGGCTAACATGGTGAAACCCCGTCTCTACTAAAAATACAAAAAATTAGCTGGACGTGGTGGTGGGCACTTGTAGTCTCAGCTACTCGAGAGGCTGAGACAGGAGAATCTCATGAACCCGGGAGGCGGAGGTTGCAGTGAGCCGAGATCGCACCACTGCACTCCAGCCTGGGTGACAGAGTGAGACTCCGTCTCAAAAAAAAAAAAAAAAAAAAAAAAAAAAAGCAGTTCTCAACCTTGGCTGCACATTAGAATAACCTTGGGAGAGTTTCAAACTCCCAGTACCTAAGTTGCTCTCAAACCATTTAAATAATTATCTTTGAGAGTGAGAAACTTAAAAGCTTCCAGGTAATTTCCGTGTGAGCAAGGTCTAGGAGAACTCCCGCTTTAGAGGTTTAGCACAGTATCTAGCACACAGGAAGCATGTTAAATAAAATAAATGAGTAAATTCAGTGAGTGATTGAGTGAAAGATGTCACACAGAACATTGTAATACTTACCTATCCATCTTCCCCCAGTAGGTTGTAAACTCATAGAGAATGAGAACCATAGGGTCTTAATTGTTTTCTATACTCATCTCCTCTCACAGTGTCTTATTCACCTTTGCATTGCTTGGTATATATTAAGAGTTCAATTTTTTGTTGAAATAAAATAACATGAAGAAAGGAGAAAATAATTTTCTTGGTTAATTAAATTCAAAATGTTCTTTATGTAGATGGACATATTTTAAAAAATAGACTTTGTTTGTATGTTTCCAATTTTTTTTGGCTTTTATCTGGACTTTCTTGGACTCTCCTGGAAGAGTTGAGCATATCACCCAAGGAAGGCCCTCTCATAGCTCAGAGACACTAATGTCAGCAATGCATTATTTACTGGATGGCCATTTCTTATAAACAGTTTTGTGCAGCCAGTAATGTCTGTTTCCAGTTTCAGTGCATGCTAGTTCTTATATTCCCCATGCAGTGTGAATTAGGTAAGATTTGCTTGCTCCCCTGGTCTAAGAAATGCTGCAATGTTCCTGAACTCTGCAAGACAAAGCCAGAGATGCCCATTGGTGAAATGTTTACTGATTTATTCAGCAAAATTATTTCTTCAGCATAGCAAATAGCTTAAAAGGTGCAGTGTATATATTTATTTATTTTCTCATTATTTATTTATACATATTGGTAAATTCATACTCATGAAATGTTTTGATGGAATTATTATGATGTTTAAAAGGAAATGTTTACAAGAAGTTCTGTATGTGACCCAGTACCAATTGGTATGAAAGCAAAATATAAAATAAAGGTCAAAACATAAAGACAGCCAAATATTTGAATGATGATGATTTTACAGGTAACTACATGTATACAATACATTGATTTATTTTCCTTAGAGAGTCACTGGTTTCAACTACTGGAATTTTGACATCCCATTATGCAATAATGTCATTATGTGGATGCCTAGGATGGCAAGACTGATGGCCCAGTTGAACTTAGCAAGGTTACTAGATGAGCAGATCTTACTGGGTCAGCTATAAGGATAGATTCAAAGTTATTCTGATATGTATATACTGAGAACTGAATATATGCCTTGTGCGGGGTCTACTCTTAAAAATCGTAAAACACACATACACACACATGCAGTATGTACTTTGCACAGCAGTGAGAGAATGTAAAAATGACTAAGCTGAAACCATGCAAAGTGACCTTCATAAATAATGGGAAAAACTCGCTGGTGAATTGTACCAAATATTTAAAGAAAAATTAACATAAACCCTTCTCAAATGCATCCAAAAGACAGAAGAGTGGGAACTACATTTTAACTCATTTCATGAAGTCACTGTTATCCCAATACCAAAGCCAGACAAAGATATCACAAGAAAAGAAACTACAGAGCAATATCTGTTATGAATATAGATGTGAAAATCCTGAGCAAATACTAGCAATCCAAATTCAGCAATATATAAAAAGGATTATACCCCATGACCAACTTGGATTTACCCCAAGAATGCAAGGTTAGTTCAACTTGTGAACATCAACTGATGCACCACAATAATAGAATAAAGGGAAAAAAATTACATGATTACTTCAATAAATATTTTAAAAAATCATTTGACAGTATCCAACACCATTTCAGATTAAAAACATTAAACAGAAAAAAATAGATGGGAATTTTCTCAATCTGATAAAGAACATCTATTAAAAACACACATCTAACATCATATTTAGTGATGAAAGACTGAAATTTGTCCCCCAAGATCAAGAATGAGGCAAGGATACTCACTCTCACCACTTCTGTTCAACATTGTACTGGTGGTACTACTCACAGCAACTAGGAAAAAAAAAGAAAAAAACTATCAAAACTATCCATATTGGAATGGAGCAAATAAAATTATCTCTGTTCACAGATGACATGATTTTATATGTACAAACCATAATAAATCTACAAAAAAAAACTGTAGAGCTAATAAATGAGTTTAGCAAAGTTTCAGGATACAAGATCATATAAAATAAATTACAGTCATAGTTACTTAATGACAGGGATACTCCCTGAGAAATGCATCATTAGATGATTTCTCATTGTGTGAACATCATAGAGTGTACTTATACAAACCTAGATGATATAGCCTACTACACATCTAGTCTAGACGGTATAGCTTATTGCTCCTACTCTACAAACCTGTACAGCATATTACTCTACTGAATAGTGTAGGCAAATGTAACACAATTGTAAGTATTTGTGTATCATATCTAAACATAGAAAAGGTAATGGATTGCACTATGACATTACAATGGTTATGGCATCACCAGGCAATAGAAATTTTTCAGCTCTATTATAATCTTCTGGGACCATCATTGTATATGCAGTCCAACATTGACCTAAACATTATTATGTAGTACATAATTGCATATAAAAATCAGTTGCATTTCTATATACCATCTGAAAATGAAATTAAGAAAACAATTTAATTTACAATAGCACCAAAAACAGTAAAGTATTTAGAAATAATTTAACCAAAGTGCAAGATTTGTCCACTGAAAACTATAAAACATGTTGAAAGAAATTAAAGAAGACCTAAATAAATGAAAAGATATCCCATGTTCATGGATAGGGAGACAATATTGTGAATATGGCAATACTTCCCAAATTGATAGGTAGATTCAATTAAATTTCTATCAAAATTTTGACTGCATTATTTTTAGAAATGGTCAAACTGATTCTAAAATGCATTTGGAATTGCAAGGAACAAAGAATATCCAAAACAGTCTTGAAAAGAACAATGTTGGGGAACTCACACTTCCCAATTTTAAAACTTATAGTACAAAGCTACAGTAATCAAGATAGTATGGTGCTGGCATAAGGATCAACATATAGACTAATAGAATAGAATTGGGCATCCAGCTGAGACAATTCGTGGCTGAAAATTAAAGTCTGTCTGCAAATAGCACCTCCAGTAGCCAAGGTAATAAATCTCTCTTTGAAGAGGGATTTGAACCATACACCACTGTATCTACCACACTGATGCATGTGATTACATTAAGATTAAAGATTTCTGTTCAATAAAGGATATCTTGGATAATGTTAACAGAAGTAGAAAGGGTGATTGTATCACCAGTGTTTACAATTGATACTTACTAATTTCTAGAATGTAAAAAAATGTCTTTAGCAATCTCAACCAAAGAAAAATGGGCAATAAATATAAGCAGGTAATTTAAAGAAAATAAAATGCCACAGCCTAGAAAGCATACAAAAGGATTCTCAAACATAATGAGAGAAAAATAAAATAAAATAATGGAGATACACCTTCATACCTATTTGCCTAACAGGAATTAGAAAAATGGAAAACAACAATTTGGCAAGGGTGTGGGGATACAGCAAGGTAGCCATATATGCCAATTTGTCTGAGACAGTCCTGGTTTGCACTTGTTGTTCAGCATAATTATTAGCACCTGCTTTTATTGTCAAAAGCGTCCCCAGTTGAACAATAAATCACATTGTCTCCCTGGAATAGAGGGATCATCATACACTGCTGGTGTAAATGTAGACTGGTGTACCCATTTGGGTAAACAATTTGGCACACTATTCAGTCAAATTAAGTATTTGAACACCTTGCAAGGCCAAAAAATAAAAAATCCCCCCTGGGTATCTGATTATATATAGAGAGAAAACTATTACATATGTTCAGAAAGGGACATACAATAATCTGTTTATTGTAGAATTATTTGTAGTGGCAACAAGTTATTAATAGAAGCTGAGTGTTCATAACTGAGAGAAGAAAAGTAAACCGTGGCAGATGCTTGTAATGAGGAACCATATAGCAATTAGATTCAGTACGATAGATATAAATATTAAAAAGAATAGGTGGATATGAAAGACATAATGTTAAGTGAAAATGTTATTAAAAATGGGATGATAATATGGTAGAGTGACCTCCACTGATCCACATTATTGTATAATTAACCTCCCTTTCACTGTGGATGGGACCTCTGAATGTGATGGGATATCAGTTCCGTGATTATGTTATAAGGCAAAGGTAAATGGGTTTTGCTGATATAATTAAGGTTTCTAATCAGTTGACTTTGATTTAAATACAGGGAAATCCTGAATGGGCATGGACCATTTATTAGAAGTAGATACTTGCAATATTATAGCCCTAATCAGGAGTGTCCCTGAAAGACAGTGGGGAAGGGAAATCCTTCTAAAAGAAAGAAATTAGAAGAGTACCTTTGGTTGCCCCCTGTGTTAGTCTGTTTTGCATTGCTATAAAGGAATGCTTGAGGCTGGGTAATTTATAAAGAAAAGAGGTTTACTAGGATCATGATTCTGCAGCCTGTACAATCATGGCACTAACATCTGCTCAATTTCTGGTGAAGCCTCAGGAAGTTTACAATCATGGTGGAAGGCAAAGGGAGAGAAAAGGGAGAAGGCACAAGACAAGGAGAGGAAGCAAGAGAGAGTGGGGAGGTGCCAGAATTTTTAACAGTCAGATCTCATGATAACTAATAGAATGAGAATTCACTCATTACCATAGGAAGGGCACCAAGCTATTCATGAGGGATCCACCCCCATGATCCAAACACCTCCCATTAGGCACTACCTCTACCATTAGGGATCACATTTCAACATGAAGTTTGAAGGGGACAAACATCCAACGTGTATCACCTCCTTTCTCAGGACTGGATATAGCCAGAAATATAGATCGACACTGATTCATAGGCAGTGGCTAATAACCACTGGTTAGGTTTGATGGTTAAGAACAAGATCAGAGCACAAATGGCAAGAAATACTGAAGAAGTTATTTGTGAATAGATTCCACATGGAGTGCAAAGACATATGTTCACCCAAAGTCATCCACTGCAGATAACGCTCTCAATAATCAAGATCGAGTTTAAAAAATAAGATGTTTTGTAGATACCAGGCGGCCTCTTCCCTAGCCACTCGGGTGCTTGCTGAATGAATGTGAAATACAGTCATGATAGCAGGGGTGGAAGCTATGCATTGGTTCAACAGCATGGGTTTCTTTTCATCAAGGCTGATCTTTGGCTGCCATTGCAGAATGCATAAACTACAGAGACCAGTGCTAAGTCCCCAAATGACACCATTCCCTGGGAATAGCAGCCAGCAACTTTGTGGTATATTGATTACACTGGATACCTTGCCTCATATATACAACAACAATTAGTTCGAACTGTAATGTACAGGTAGTCTAGAAATGGGTTTTCCTTCTCTTTTCTCACTGCTTCCAACAGCACCACCATCATGGACTTATAGAAAGTCTAAGTCACTATATTCTGTGCAACATCGTTTAATTCCACACAGTATTAAGTCACTGTATTCTGTGCAACATTATTTAATTCCACGCAATATTACCTTTGACCAAAAACCTTAACAGAGCAACCAAAGAAGTACAATAATGAATTTATGTCCATGGAATTCACTGGTCGTATCACAGTATCCCATCACTTATGCACTGGACTGACAAAATGATGAAATGATCTATGAAGAATCATTATCATTCCAGTTAAGAATATCCTAAAAGTTTGGGGCTATGTCTTATAAAATGCCATCATATGCTTTGAATCAGTGGCCAACATATGGTGCTGTTTCTCCCATGGCCAGAATGCAGGAGTCTAGTAGTCAGTGTCACTGTTCCATCTGGTAACCCGGTAGCAGAAGTTTTGCTTTCCATTCCCCACAAGTTGGTGCTCTTCTGGTTTAGAGGTTCTAATTCCCACAGAAAGAAAACTTCTACAAGCAGACATAACAATTGTTCCACTGAACTGAAAGTTGAGACTGTCACCTGTCTATTTTAGGATCTTCATGCCACTGAGCCAATAGGCAAAGAAGGGGATTACTCTAATGACTGTGGTGGTTGATCCTGATTAGCAAGGAGAATTTGGCTACAGCTATATAATACAGGTGGAGGAAAAACCAGAGGACTCACTGGGATGCCTCTCAGAATTTTCATTTATAAGACTAAAAGTTAAAAGAATACTAAAGAAATTAAAAAAAAACAGAGAATAACTGAGGATTAAAACTTCTCATAATGGAAGTATGGGGCTTTTGCCAGGCAAAGAACTGGCTGAAATGATGGCTGAAAGCCAAAGAAATATAGACCAGTTAGTAGACAAAGAAGGTTATGAAAATTAACTATAGTCTTGTGACCAATTCTAGAAACATGGGCTGTAGCAGCTACACATATTTTCTTCCTTGCTTATCACATATATTTCTATTTCTTTTTTTCTCTCTGTTGTGTTGTATAAGGAGTGTTGTTGGTGGTAAAATTGACAATTCATTATTTAGGTGACTAATTGTCTATATATGAAAACAACACCTATGGAAAACTTGAGTCTCCTCTTGGGGAGGGAGGCTAGAGAGTGAGACCATCTTCTGAAAGATAGTTGCATTTTACTAAACAGAAGCACAAAGTTGTTATTGGACAAAAGGTTTTTTCTGATATGTGTACAAGCATATTATTAAGCTATTGTCCTTCAGCTCTAAATTTCCCCCTTCTAGATCTTGCCTTGTGAAACTAGGCCTGGAATTCTTCAGATTACTTTGTTAGCTGAACCCGTTAAATCTGTCAAAAAGATAGTGTAGAGAGAAACTGGAAGACAGGGAGAGGGCAGAGAGGGACTTGTTCCTTTTTATTTGCTTGCTCTTCCTGTCAGTGTCACCAGAGCAATGATACTTTATCCTGGCAGCAGCAATGTCTTTCCATCTCCAACTCTATTTGGCACTCCCAGAAGCAGCCTCATCATACCCTGCCCCGCTCAGAAACACCAGCAACAGCTGGCAATGCCTCCTGAGGTTTCAACCTCAACTATTCAAGACCATTTTTCTCACCTGGCGTTACTAGCGCTAGCTGAGTAGCACTCCCTCTTCAGAGGTGAGTGCTAGTTCCTTGGGGCTCCTCCTCCAAACTTTAAAGTATTAATAACCCTAATCCAAGCCGACGTGGTGGCTCTTGCCTGTAATCCCAGCACTTTGGGAGCAGAGGCAGGCAGATCACTTGAGCTCAGGAGTTCAAGACTAGCCTAGGCAACATGGTGAAACTCTCTTTACAAAAAGATCCAAAAAAAAAATAAAATTAGGCAGGCATGGTGGCACATGCCTGTGGTCCCAGCTACTCAGAAGGCTGACATGGGAGGATCGCTTGAGCTCAGGAGGAGGTTGCAGTGAGCCAAGACCATGCCACTGCACTCCAGCCTGGGCAACAGAGCCAGAATCTGTCTTAAAAAATAATAATAATAATAAATAAAAAATTAAAAGTCCAAGAATACACTTTAAGCACAGATGAATCCAGTGGTTCAATTATATCTTATCTTCCTCTGTCTTTTGCTTTTCTCTGCAATGGTTTTCCTCAAGCACATTGTCTTCACAACAGGAGCTCCTAGAAGATGAAGGCTTATACTTTATATACCTTAGTATAATAAGATAACCAGAGCTTTAACTAGTTTTCCCTTCCCTCACTATTCTGGCCAAAGTTATGAGGCTAATGTTGAGTTGCCTTGATTGGTCTGCTTAGGTCATGTGCCCTTCCTAAACCAATCACTATAATGTGCAATACTTTCATTGGCCAGTCATGGATCATTCTCCCCAGAATGGGATCAGTTCAACCTATTACTAGGAGAAGTAAGTTCTTCAATACAACACCAGTCCCATTAAAACTTTTCCAACACTGCACAATTACTAATAAAAATTCAATGACATTATTTTTACAGTAGAAATTTCATATCTTAGTAGCTCACAGAGGTAGAGTTGGTCTTTAAGAGAGGACAAAGAAGGTGACTCATGGCCATGTGGCTATATTTTAGGAATGCCGCAAATTCCTCCAGCCTAAAATATCTTTTCCATCTGCCAACTACAGTCTTAAATCCAGTTACACTACTGAGATACATTGTTTTGGGCCTATAGCACGGACCCTCCAAGCTTTTTTTGGAAAAGGCAAATGTCTCTTAGCATTTATCATCTCTTAACACCTCATATTGATTACCTTATTACCTTATCTGGTTGATGATAACAGGTAAGGCAATAGTAAGGAGTCCCTCAGAGGAAGGAATCTGTATGGGTTGAAATGTCCCAAAGGGCAGGTCTGGAACCTGTGTGGTCAGGTTGATAGGAAGAGTGAGGAAAGGGCTGGAGGGTGGTGGTGCACTCCAGGCACAACGTGTCTAATTTGCAATTTCTCTTTATAACACTACCCATACCACCATTTAATTATATCTTAGAACAGGCAACCTATGAGAGGATGTTTGGAAATCCAGTCCCTTTTCTCAACAAAAGAAGTTCCTTGTTGGAGACATGGCTGAAGAATGGCATCGGCCTTGAGTTTGCAAGGAAACTGTAGGTCATTTAAACCTAAGACTGTCACCAGGAAGAACCTTAGACTCTAAGAATTCTCTTGAAGTATTTCCAGCTTTTAATGGCCTAACGATTAAGCAAAGAAGTCTGCAAGACCCTTGTTGATCTTTTCTAATGACATTTAAGTGCCAATGTCTAAGTGATTTATTTTTCAGCTAATGCAATAACAGACAGAACAATACCTGAAAACTAGTGTCCCATGTGATATGGGGCAAGATATTGGCCTTCCTTAAACTGTCACAATTTTGAACTCCTTATAACTAAGTTTCCTATCTCTCCAGGTCCCTTTCCAATTATATATATATATATATATATATATATAAAATATTCCTACTATATATATATAAAGTTTAGTAAGAATATGGAAAGAAAGAATGAAGGAACAAAAGAAGGAAGAGAGATAGATACCCATTTAAACAAATAAAAGTGGTTATTTATGGGGAGGGGAATGGGAAGATATTAAAAGTGGTAAAAAAAATTTAAAGGAAACTTTATTATATACATTTTATTATTGCTTGACTTTGGCTTACAGTGAGCATTATTCAGGAATCCTTTTAGTAGTTTTAGTAAAAATTATACTTAATTGATTCTACTAACTAAAAGACATTTGTTCTCACATTTAGGATTCAACTTGAGGAAGGGAGACAGGGCCATCTCTGTGGTCTAGATAAGTGCTGACCACATAATTTAAAAAGTGGATCCTATAAAAGTCCCCACTGACTGAATTAAGCTTAAGAATAATACTCAAATTATACAAAACCAAGCTGAATAAAAATGCAAGTACTCCAATTCTTTGTTACATCTACTTCCCCCCACCCCACCCCCAGAAAGAATAAACTACTGCTGTTTTTGAAAGTGTCATAAAGATACAGGTCGGTTATGCTGCTCCCCTGGACGGGTTTCCATTGGTAATAAATGGTTTTCTGAGAGATTTGAGTTAAAGCTCTTATGTAAATAGAGAGAGGCTTACATAATGCTCTTTAAACTAGAACTTTGAAGACAATCTGCAGTAGGCATATGAAATCTGTTTGTGCTGCAAATGGCATCTGAAAACTGACAGGAAACCATCCAAGACGCGGTTTAAGAAAACAGGAAGAATAAACACCCACGGTGCAAACTTCTGATCAATCATTTTACCAAACTTCAACCACGACTAGAGAATATGTAAGAAGTGTGTCCTGGGGCTTATAATAATGCCACTAGCCACAGTATGTTTTCAGGAGCGCCCAAGAACATTATTCATTGTAAATTTCTATGTAAATTATCCAGGGGCAGGGGCATTGCTTTGGTCCGCCCAAGAGTCAGATGGCGCGGGTTCCCTCCCTGTGAGTTTCGACAGTGCATCATCTTACGGAAGAGGCTAAACTAGTATTGATTTTCCACTTTCTAAAAGGAGTAACCATTTGGAGCAAAGGCAAGCTCTCAGGGACGCGGGGGTTGATAGGGGGCAGGTCTGCGAAAAAGAGAAACACTTCAAACAGCGCTGCGGAGAGTGGGGGATGGAGCTGTGGGGAGCGAGCGGAGGCTTCTCTCTGCCCAAGTAGTGGGGCTGCAAAGTTCCTGCCACAACGGCTGAGACGTTCTGATTCTGTGGACCTGCCAGGAGAGGCGTTTCCCTTGCCAAAATAGAGCCTTCTTAGGAGAGGTTTATGTATTGTTCGGGAAGGCAGGAGTATCTTCTAGTCGTTTTCACTCTCCTCCACCTTTATTACCCTGAATCCTTAGGCCCTCCCCTCGGAACCCCTTCAAAGTGGAGAGGGAGCGTGGGAGGGAGAGAGCGCGCGCCAAGTTTCAAATGTCGCCAGTCTTTCCAGAAGCCCCTGGCTCTCGCAGGACTGGGTGCAGGCGCCTCTCCGGGCCTCGGAGCCCCGCCCCGCCTCCCCATCCCCACAATCCCAAGGCTCCAGGCTCTGCAGGGAACCGCGGCGGGAATTTTCCAGCCTCAAATACGGGGCGGACTAATTTTCAGGTCCACTCCAACCCAGAGATCGGATTCCACTTGATCTTGGAGTTCGCGAAGTAACTGCCAAGTCAGAGCGTGCGTTCCGCAGTGCGCGGTGGCTGCGCGGCGCTGGCTCTTGCTGTGGGGCAGACAGCAGAGGACCAGGGGCGAGTCGGCAGCGGGAGGAGCCGCCTGGCCAGGAGCCTCGGACAGTGTCTCCCCGTCCCGAACCCCTTCCCGCCACCTCCTCCACCCCCCGCCCCGCATTCCCCCCGGGGCGACCCTCCCTCCACCTGCGGACTGCCCCAAGGAATGGAAAACCTGCACTCAGAAGCCACCCCCCACCCCGCCTCTGCCGTATCTGCTAACTTTGCTAACACTCCCCTTCCCCTGCCTTGTAAGTCACTATTTACGACCGCGTCGACTCGCGCTCACGCACGCCTGCCCTTTTCTCCAGAAGCCTGAAAGTGGCTGAATTCAAACACTGACACGTGAAAACTCTATTCTGAGTGACTTAGAATCTCCCGCTTTGAGGTTTTAATCTTGATCCGCCGGTCCTGCCCAAAGTTCAGAGCAGCTGTCCGAAAGGTCCCCGCATTTGCTGTCCCTAGGAAAGGTGAGGCTAGGAGGAAGGGGGAGGCAACGCAGGGAATGTGAGAGGACTGGGGCCACACTGTGTATCTAGGAGGAAACTCTGAATCCTAATCTCAAGAATGTAAGTCTTTGCGCAGTTTCCAAATCGAGTCCATTTAGCAGCTTTCTTCGGAGCCCGGGTACCCCAAGTGGCAACTTAGGAACTGGGAGAAGGAACGTGCCACCACCGACCACCTATCCTGGTGGGAGGAGGTACTGCTCCCCCCTACTCCTCCCTTTTCCCTGCTCCCTCTCCATCAGCAACAGGTTGTCAAGTTGAGGAGACATCCCCTCCAAACTCTCTCACTCCCCACTTGTGGCCGAGGCCTGCCCTGTGTTCATCCCAGACAGTCAGGCAGACGCTGAGCTGTCCGCGTCGGCGTGGGCGCCTGTGGCCAGCGTATTGTGAGATTTCTAAATGTCAGGGCACTGTTAAGGAAATGTCTGACAAACCTGTAGTAAACCTCTTCACGAAGGAAAGGAGGGCTGTTGTCTTGGCTTTTGGTTGTGTGTCCCTCATGGCCCCCAAGAAAACAATTTTTCTGTTCCAAACACTCTTTGGATCAAGTTTCGTCCTTGCATTTCTAGTTTAGGCGTTTCTACTAGAAACGAATGTGTGGTGCGTTTTGGTTGGGCATTACTTGCAGGTGTCTTGCCGCTTAAGTTTCCTGGACTGAGACGTTGACTGGTGACCTAGGCTTGTTTGGGGCAGCTGTAAAAGGTCCCTGTAACGCTCCAGGTCTACCTGGGGACCGCCCACCAACTCCCTGGTCTCCAATTATCATTGTTAGTGCAAGGTGGAGAACGAGCTTAATTCTTTAATATGACCTCCTATTTTGATTCAGTCGAGGAAAGAAAGGAAAACAGTGGAGATGGTGGCTAGACACCCCCAAACTCTGACTTCGGAGAAGGAAAATCCTCAACTACTGCCTCTCAGCACTTTGCATTGTATTCCTGAAACCTGGAAATGAAAATAGAAATTGTTTGATGTATGAGGAGACGTTATCTAATTAGGGCGTAAGAAATTTAATCTTTCCAGCAAGCAGGTCATATAATTAATGTTAATTTAACGCTCAAATTCTCAGTCATTAAATTTTATTCTCTTAAATGTAGTTTGGCATGGGCCCCTGATCCATGGCAATGGATTTTACTGGATGTGAGAGCGCTCTTGGTCTTAGGAGTGACTCACCACAAACCCACCCTTCCCAATAACAAGATCACATCATGTATGCATTATTAAGCCACATAATTGAACGGTCCATAGTTTGCATATCAGACTATTAAAATAATGTGTTTTGCTTTTCTCTGAACACGTATTGTTCAAGCCTCTGCGAGTATGTAGTGATTCTGATAATTACCTCCAAACTACTGCAAATATTCACTTCATTAACATGATTTCTTTCAAGCATTTTTTTAAAATGTGGATATCATTGTGAATTAAGAGACTTTTTACAAAGTTATGTGAACTTTTTTAAAAAAGGAATTTGTCATTGGAAAGGAAAGCATATATTTTAAATGGAGGATGTAGAAAAATGCTTTGACTATGCCTTTCAAATGGCTTCCTAAGATCAAATAAAAGTTTTTCTGTCCAGTTTTTCATGCTACTTCTAGGCAAAAGGCAGACAGAAAGAAACAAAGAGAGATGGGGCTGACTTTCAAAGTCACAGGAGAGTAAGAGAGAATCAATTTTTCAAGTTCCAACTATCCACGTCCTTCTGGTATAGATAACTTGTCCCTACAAATAAAATCTTAACTCATTATCTGAGATAGAGGAGACTATACAACTGCCCTTTTAAAAGAACAAACTCAAAATTTTCTGAAGCTAACAGCTCATCATTAACTAAATATTTACTGTTTTCCCCTCACTCTTCTGAGCTATACTATTGGAGAAATTATAAGCAGTAAAAAGTCTTCATTGTAACCTTCCCTTCACACACTGTTTTCAAAGTTGAATAGCAAGACATTAAAAAAAAACCTATTGCAAAATAAAAGTCTCTTTTAAATGTGAGAAATTTGCAACTACACTTCTTTCTAGTAAGTTTTTCCTTTGAGTGATTTTTAAACTCTCCTAACAGGCCGTTCTGCCGCTGGTATTGCCGCTCCTCTGTACACTGTCCGCGCCGCGTGCGGGTCCCTCTGCTAGGACCGCGCCTTCAACGCGGAATCGCTGACATGAGCCCAGACGGAGAAGGGGTTTCAACTACTGAGAAGGCATAAGTTGGAGAAAGTTGTGGGATTTTTCCTAAACAAAATAGGGACAGGAAAACAGTTGGGCTGGGGGACGAAATGGGGAGGGTAGCTGGGGCTTTCTGCCTGCTCCAGCAGTAAGCTGCTTGGCCATTCCCCGCGGGGCCGGCCCCCCTTCCCTTGCTCAGTGCCCAGGTCCTCCGGGCCCTTCTCCTCGAGCCCGCAGTCGGCTCTCAGGGAAAGGGTGCCAGGCCCCAGGCGGCACTTTTATTTTGGTTAAGAGG
The DNA here is from genome assembly GCF_000001405.40 of Homo sapiens. NCBI lineage: Eukaryota > Metazoa > Chordata > Mammalia > Primates > Hominidae > Homo > Homo sapiens. The sequence goes on from NC_000006.12 coordinate 98,827,803, forward strand.
AGGGAGGGCTGCTCCCAGGCCCGAGGGAGGCGAACTGAGCCTTTCTGTTTGGATTTCCCTCCTCGCTATAGCAACCAGCAGCATCCGGACAAAAATGCGCCCTCCCTGGACAATGGCCCGGCCTCCTGCTTCTCGCCCTCGTCTTCCTCCCCCGGATCCCAGCCAGGACCTGCCTAGGCGCTCTTCGACCACGGAACATCCCTCCCCGCCACCCCCACCTCCATCCTTTCCATAGCAGTCTCTCCCCGGGTCAGTCCAGGGCGCTGGGAAGCCTTAGCTCTCGCTTTCTACCCCCACTGATCCCCCCACGCGGGCCGAGGCTAGGACACAGGACCTCACTACCGAGTTCGGGGGCTCCCGCAGGGGAGTTCCCTGCAGGGATTGTGTGGGTGTTTGGATGGCCCTGAGGAGTAACTCCAGCTTTTTCCAGGGTTAAAAATATATATATTAGAAAAATGCATTGAGCAGACTACACTTCTCCCCTGCCCAACACACACACACCACACACACACACATATTAATATAAGCACCCCAGACCGAAGTACTAGGCATGATCTCTGACTTTCTTTCACTCTCCCAAGGTTAATTAAGTTCCCTTCCACGAACTGAGCTCCGTGCCTATTCATTATTCTCTCCCTCTGACCTAGGGCGTTAATATGATCAGGCCTATGACTCGGCCGTGTTCTGTTTTCCTATTTTGCATTTAATGCTGGGACCCGGCTGCCCTAGATTACCATCGAAAACTCTCAGAAAAGACAAGAGGAGCCAGGAGGTCTCCCTGCTCCAATCTGCCTAAGGCTTCCTCTTCCTGCCTCCTCTTCCGGCCAACGTCTGCCCCTATGTTCCCAGGACCCAAATTCTGGAAACCTGTCTTTAAAAATACAATCATCTCTAACTTTATGATGTCCAAAAGCTGTCTAGAATGACAGATTCGAAACTCTGAGACCTAGCAGAAGATTTTGGCCCACAGTTATTACGACTGTGGTTAACTGCTCTCCAGAAAAGCATCTCTCCCGCCCGTGCACCACCTGCTCCCCTCCCCGCCCACCCCCCCATCCCCCCCCAACCGCCGTCCTCCCGGACACTAACGACACAATTGTTAAGTGCACTTGTACACTTCAGAAGGATTTGCATTCGTGCTGTGTGCAGGCAGAATAAGAGAACTGAAGTCCAACTTCAACCAAATACGCCTGTTTATCCCAGGGCTGGAGCAACAGCCCTAGCCCTTGAAAATGGCTTCAGTGAAATAGCTGAGTACACCCTCCTCCCACTTCCCCAGTCCGCCTCTGTGCGCAGGTGTATGTTAGTGCACTCGTCCCTAGCTTGCCTTCCTCTTCGAAAATTGCTCCAGAGGATGAGAGAAGCCAGGAGCTCTAGCAAGAGCTTCATCCCAGTACATTTCCAAATGCTTTAGAGCTAAGGAGGTTTCTGTTGAAATCACTTTAATTTATCAAAGAGTTGTCATCCCCTACTGGTGGCCAGCCATCCACCTGCTTTAAGGCTAGGGGGAGAAAATGCGAGCGTGCCTGTGTGTGCGTGTGCGCGCACACACACGCGCGCGCACACACACACACAGACACCTTTAGGCTCCATTGTTAAGAGGTCATTTAACTGTTAGTCCTTTGAAAGTGAAATTGCGGGAAGCAAACTGGAAGCCACCAATTGTCTCCTGTTCTGTTTCTGAGATTTTTGTTCTGTTTCTGAGATTTCGTATAAACAAGCTATATTAACTCCTCCAAACAGAATTTATCTTATACACCGACGGAATGCTTCCTTTATGTTTTCTCCCTCCTAAGGCCTCATATTCACCGCTCAGGATTTAGCAGGCTTCCTTTGATAAATTACTCAAAGTAATCCTTGAAACAGCTAGACTATCTGGGTGACATGGTGTTAGATGTCTTCAAGCCATCCCTGTATATAAAATATTCACTTGCAGACTACAAAGGGGGGACTGTTTTAATGATAAAATTTATAACTTGAAGAAAAAGGGAAAGATATTAGTATCTATAAATACAGATAATTTTATTTCAAATACTGAATTAAGGACATTATATTTCACTGGTTTACACAGTAGTGAAGGTAAAATAGAATTGTTTGTATGTGAGGTATGGACAGAGTTGCCAAGCATATGACGTAGGAGAGTTTCAACTTTCAGAAAACTTTTCATTCTTCAAGACCTTTTATTACACAAGGACAGATGCACATTTAGGAATTTGCAAAATATAGGTATAGACAGTAACATACAAATTTATTGGAAGCTTTATTTCTTCAGGAAAAAATATGCTGCTGCATAATTAAAGATAGTAAGTTCTATCCTTTTTTTTTTTTTTTTTTTTTTGGTAAATGTTTATTATGTCTCTCCCAAGAACCAGCAACTTGGAAATGCATTTTCCATGTTCCTTATAAATGCATCCCCCAAGGCTAAAGTTCTTGAAGCTTTATAGCAGTTTTCATTAAAGCAGCCAGCTGCCTTTTTGTGTGGATTGGCTGTTCAAAGCTCTAGCTCCGAAGCCAGAGCCTCAGTTTTGACATTCTGCAGGCCCTTAGAAAAGAAGTTCCACTCAGAGGTTGGAGGGGGGCCTCACCAAATCAAACAGCTGCTGGGGTCTAGCAGAAGAGCAGGAAGCACAGGAATGAATGACTGAGACAAGGCTTTTTAAAAAGAGGAGGAGGAGTAGGGACGTTCAAACATGATCCTCTAAGGTGGATATAAGAAAAAGGAAACAGCAGTTTCTTTTTCTAGTTTTACTTAGGTTTAAACCAGCTGCTACCTCCACTCCCCCAATGGCCATCTCCTCAGAAAATTCTTTGTTTTCTTTTGTTTCCTGATTTCTATTATCCTGGGACTACATAAATAAGAAAAAATTAAGATCAAATGAATACCATTTCACCTCTGTTTTAGTAATTGTGTGCCTCCAGCTCAATGTATGGGAGTGGTCACGGTGGGTTTTCTGCCAACTCCTGGTATATAGAAATAAATAAATGCTATTTTATATATGGTGTGAGTGTGTTTACTAGATGAAATAGTTAATAAATTAGAGTTCAAGTTACAGTGCATGGACTGACCCCATAACTGTTACTCAGGTGGAAATTTGGGAGGTTTGTGTCAAGGTACTGGGTGCTACTAAGACCCAGGTCCGGCTCACTATCTCGAGGAGTGTGAAAGTGTGAGAGATAACATGGGTGTCTTTTTGGTGTAGTTCTGTTATTCGAGGATGTTTCCCCTCCACTCAGCGCACCCCGGCAAGAGGGAGTCGGCTCCGTTTCTTCAGACAAGTCCAGCTCAGGGTATTGACTGAGTAGAGGTTCCTCCGGACCTGGGAGAAGCTGGGGTGGCGCCAGCATCTCCTTACAGGTGCCTCCATCCTGTCCTTGCGGAAGGGGCTTAGGACACCCCGCAGTCCGCGCCCCGAGGTGGCGAGGCCCGCACGAATCGCCTGCTCAGCCATTGTCCTAGCGAGTGATCTCGAGGAGCTGTGCTGGATGGAGTGAGGGAGATATCAAGACACCTTGTCAGTTCAAAGCATTTTAGCGTTGTTTGAAATCCTCTCCACGTCAACGTAAGCAGCCTGTGTATTTGAACAGCTGCTTTGAACAGTGAAAGGGAATAAACTGATTCAAAACCTGGAGGTGTCTGCCCGAGACACCTTCAACGTGCTTTTATGCGGGCGGAGAATGGCAGGCAGACGCGCGGACTCTGCCCTGACAGGGTCAGCCCAAAGAATGGGCCCCAGAGCCCGGGGCGGGGGAGGAACCGGTGGAGAGGCCCCAGTCTGGACCTAAAACCAGCGAGAGCTCAGGTTTCGGGAGCCCCGAAGAGGTGCCGCGCTGGGAGGCAGACAAGGAAGCCCAGGGTGCTCGGAACCCGGCGTTCGCGCCAACCGGGCCCCTGGCGCCTGGAGGGGAGGCGGCGGTAGCTCGTGGGGAGGTGTTGCTCAGAGCCGCGGTGCGAGCCCAGCCTGGCCCGCCCGGTGATTGGCCGCGCTTGGGGGTGGGGGTGGGGTGCAGAGACTGAGGCCCCGGGTAGGCTATTTCTTTGTGTACTCCCGGGGATTTATTGGGTATATTAAACCCTGTTGGGAACGTTTCGGCTCCTTGGCCGCCAGCGAAATGAGACGGGGATGGAAGTTGGAGTTGAGACCTGGGAAGTCAACGTGGGAAGGATCTCAGCATTAATCGCCGGTGATGTCCTATCGCAGACAGGAAGTTTTGATGTACACGTGCAGCCTATTCTTGTCCCCTCACACTAGCGCCCTATGCCGGGAGGAGGGCGGGGGTGTGGGGTGGGGTGTGGAGAGAAAGATAAGAGGAGGAGGAACTTTTAAATTGATTCAGAGCCAGGCCGCCTCAGTTCCTTCGAAGATGTGTTTGAAAACTTCATTCTTCTTTCGAGTGTATCATCCTATGGGCTGCAGAAGGCCTTGTGCCTCGAGAAATGTGAAATTAAATCCAGAGAAAAGCAGACACCTGCCCCAGAAAGGTGGGGGAGAAGTATGAGCTGCTTAGCACTTGGACGCGGCCCTTCCCCAGGGCTGGATTCTTCTGTCCGTGGGAGCTCTGAGCTCCAGGTCCGCGAAAAGAAAGGCACGACATGTCAGGAGAAGATGCGGCTGGCGGGCTGTCTGTGCGCTCCCCAAGGCCCAGGGAAAGTCACGCGCCTAGCACAGGGGACGCAGGGCCGAAGCCGGGAGAAGGCGGTTCTGCCCGCCACCCAGCCCCTTGGCTCGCGGTTGCGGAGCCGCGGGCACCAGTCGCTGAGTCTGCGCGCTGAGGCTCGGACTTGTTCATTTTTTCCTAGCTAGACAAAGTTATGGGATTCCTAGCAGCCCCCAGGCGCGCGGCCAGAGTGGCCCCGCGCTTGCGCTGGGACGGAGCGACACGCTGTGTGTGTCCTCGCCTCGCCTCGCCGCGCGGGTGCGCGCGTGGTGGGGGTGCAGGTCCGTCCTGCTGGCGGCCTGTGGGCTCGCCCCTCCCCTATCCATTTCTCTCCCCCACACACGCTCATAAACACAGGACACGTGGAAATTCTCAGCCAAAGCGTCTTGCCCGGGCGGGTGCTCAACGTGGTGATTTATAAACAGCTCAGCCACTCTCCAAAGAGCATGACTCCTTGTTAGTCATGATGAATTTTCTGGCCCGCTCCAGTCTGCTGTCTGGATTCAGATGCTCAGAGGCCCCAAAATGCTCCCTCTGAGCGTTGATTTGGCTGCCCTCTCAAGCCTACGACCGCCGGCAAAACCAGCGATAGAGCGAGGGGTGAGAGGTGGGGACGCGATCCAGGTTCCCTGGGGTCTGTCATTCCCTTCCCGGCAGTAACTGTTGATTCGCTTTACAGCGCCCATGTACACACCCGGCCCTGCGTGGCGGTCACGCCGCTCCAGCCTGGGTCCGCGCCCAAGTTCTAGCTACCGGGCTTGCAGGCTCGGAAACTCGCAGGCGGCACCTGCTCTGGGCGGCTAAAGAACTGATGGCGCGACGCGCCCGCGCTCCGTAGAGCGGCGCTGCGGGTGCATGGTCCCATAGTCTTGCTCTGGAGTTCACTGCTGAAAGCTGAGCTGGGAGCTTGGCCAGGGAGCGCCAAAGACATAGACTAACCCCACCCGCTAGCGCCCACCGAAGTTACTGATTAGGAAGGTTCCCCTGGCATCAGCCCATTTGCTTCACACACTCTTCCTCCTTCCCAAGGGGCTAACGGAAAAGTTGCACCTACCAGCGGTAGGAGCACGGGGAATCGCGCACGCAGGCCCTCCGCGCGGCTTCCCGGAGCGGCCTTTGGCGACTGCGCCGCCCCTACAAGGCCGCACACCCCTCGCCAGCACTCCGGCAGCCTCGCACAAGACGGAGCCCACGCAGGCTTCTAGTTTTCTAAACCAAAAACTGCACGCGCCGGCGTGTGAATCTGACGGAGAGACTTTTAGAGTTTTGTTTGGTTTTCAGTTCAGACCGCTACGCTGTCAGAGCAAGCAACTCCGAGCCTTGATGGGAATGACTTACAAGCCGCGGTGCGGGCTGAGCCTGCCTCTCTCGGGGTTCTTTCCCCAAGGGAGTGGGAGACAATTGGGCCTGGAACCTAAAAGGAAGAGAGCCTGTGCTAGCCGCGGGGTAGAGGGGAAGGAGAAGAGCTTTGGGCCGAAGTGTCCGCACACCCTGGAGCAAGAGACACTTGTGCACTGAAATTCTAACCGTGGGATGCAAGGAGAGTTGAACAGGGGAACAGGTCTGGCTCTTGGCTCTAGGTTTAAGAGATACACACTGTGTGTGTGTCCCTAGGTGAATAAAAATCCGACTCCCGCTGGCTCGGTGCGACCCAGCTTTTCCCTTACCCCCTCCGTTTCCCCATCTTAAAGCCCTATTGGGAAACGAAAGTGGACACCACTGCCTCCCGCCCCCCACCCCAATCCAAGTCTTCCAAGTGTCTGTGGCCGATAAGAGCACCGGGACCGCCCCCCTGCCGGTCTTCTCTGCCTGGGAGACAGATGGGGGGCGGGGCCCATCCGAGAGAGGGCGGAGGAGGCCCCGGGTGAGGAAGAAGCGGGGGGGTGAGAACTGAGAGAATCTGAATCGGGAGGCGAAGGGGACGGGGAGGAGGGCTAGGAGGACTCCGAGCCCGGGGGAGGGGGAGGGAGTAGCTCTGCGCCAATCAGTGGCGCCGGCCTGGGAGGTTGCTAGCGGTATCCACGTAAATCAAAGGGCGCGGAGCCAATGGGAGGGGGCGGAGGGGGCGGGGCCCAGGCGCGTGCCGCTGCGAGCCGGCGCTGCCAAGAGAGCGGGAGAGAGCTGGAGAGAGCAGGGAGAGGGGGGAGCGCCGAGCTAGTCAGAGAGTGAGCGAGAGCGAGAAGGAGGGAGAGGAGGAGAAAGAGAGCGAGGGCGGGCGGGAGGCGGCGGCGGCGGCAGCAGCAGCAGTAATAGCAGGAGCAGCAACAGAAGGCGTCGGAGCGGGCGTCGGAGCTGCCCGCTGTGGGAGAGAGAGGAGACAGAAAGAGCGAGCGAGGAGAGGGAGCCCGAGGCGAAAAAGTAACTGTCAAATGCGCGGCTCCTTTAACCGGAGCGCTCAGTCCGGCTCCGAGAGTCATGGCGACCGCAGCGTCTAACCACTACAGCCTGCTCACCTCCAGCGCCTCCATCGTGCACGCCGAGCCGCCCGGCGGCATGCAGCAGGGCGCGGGGGGCTACCGCGAAGCGCAGAGCCTGGTGCAGGGCGACTACGGCGCTCTGCAGAGCAACGGACACCCGCTCAGCCACGCTCACCAGTGGATCACCGCGCTGTCCCACGGCGGCGGCGGCGGGGGCGGTGGCGGCGGCGGGGGGGGCGGGGGCGGCGGCGGGGGCGGCGGCGACGGCTCCCCGTGGTCCACCAGCCCCCTGGGCCAGCCGGACATCAAGCCCTCGGTGGTGGTGCAGCAGGGCGGCCGCGGAGACGAGCTGCACGGGCCAGGCGCCCTGCAGCAGCAGCATCAGCAGCAGCAACAGCAACAGCAGCAGCAACAGCAGCAACAGCAGCAGCAGCAGCAGCAACAGCGGCCGCCGCATCTGGTGCACCACGCCGCTAACCACCACCCGGGACCCGGGGCATGGCGGAGCGCGGCGGCTGCAGCGCACCTCCCACCCTCCATGGGAGCGTCCAACGGCGGCTTGCTCTACTCGCAGCCCAGCTTCACGGTGAACGGCATGCTGGGCGCCGGCGGGCAGCCGGCCGGTCTGCACCACCACGGCCTGCGGGACGCGCACGACGAGCCACACCATGCCGACCACCACCCGCACCCGCACTCGCACCCACACCAGCAGCCGCCGCCCCCGCCGCCCCCGCAGGGTCCGCCTGGCCACCCAGGCGCGCACCACGACCCGCACTCGGACGAGGACACGCCGACCTCGGACGACCTGGAGCAGTTCGCCAAGCAGTTCAAGCAGCGGCGGATCAAACTGGGATTTACCCAAGCGGACGTGGGGCTGGCTCTGGGCACCCTGTATGGCAACGTGTTCTCGCAGACCACCATCTGCAGGTTTGAGGCCCTGCAGCTGAGCTTCAAGAACATGTGCAAGCTGAAGCCTTTGTTGAACAAGTGGTTGGAGGAGGCGGACTCGTCCTCGGGCAGCCCCACGAGCATAGACAAGATCGCAGCGCAAGGGCGCAAGCGGAAAAAGCGGACCTCCATCGAGGTGAGCGTCAAGGGGGCTCTGGAGAGCCATTTCCTCAAATGCCCCAAGCCCTCGGCCCAGGAGATCACCTCCCTCGCGGACAGCTTACAGCTGGAGAAGGAGGTGGTGAGAGTTTGGTTTTGTAACAGGAGACAGAAAGAGAAAAGGATGACCCCTCCCGGAGGGACTCTGCCGGGCGCCGAGGATGTGTACGGGGGGAGTAGGGACACTCCACCACACCACGGGGTGCAGACGCCCGTCCAGTGAACTCGAGCTGGGGGAGGGGCAGAGCGCGGGGCTCCCCCTCCCCTTCGGTCCTTGGCCCTTTCCCGGCCCTCTTGTTCCCTCTCTAACTTCTGATTGTTCTTTTATTTTTAATTATTATTTCCCCGTCCCTTAAAAAGACAAAAAAAATAAGGCAAAAGGAAAGCAACTAAGACACTGGACTATCCTTTAAAGGTAGCAGGTGTAATGATGTGTTTTGACCTTTGCAGGCGAGTAACCAGGCAATGGAGTGGAGTGTCTCCTGGAGAGAGTGAGGAGAGTGTGTGATAGCTAGAAAGAGAGAGAGACAGAGAGATGGCAAGCACTGAGATAAATACCTGGCAAAACTAAATAAATTACCAAAAAGGAAAAAAAATCCACCAAACCATGATAAACACAAAATGCAGCTTCCTGATGCTTAGAGTTGGCACATGCTGCTGTGTTTATTTATTGTGGATTCCCATCAGGAAAGAGGAAAAAATACACATGTTCTTTCATATAGGCAAAATTTAACCACATAAATTTGCACTGCAAGAAAATTGAAGTTTACGTGAACAAATTCATGAGCATATTTTCTCTTTCTCCCCACCGTTAATTTGGGAGTTGCCGTTTTGGGGGATTTTGTTTTGCTTTGCTTTATTCATCGGAGAGAGTTGAAGCCAGCTCTTGGCCACTCTCCATTTCTAATGTTCTTGTGTTGCCCCTTCTTCGTACTGTTTGTGAACTTTGGTTACCTTCACATTCCCCTTACGAGGGTGTAACATCTATTTGTTCCTCTTACCAAAGCAAAAGGATTGGCTTCATACAAAATAGACAATTCTCTGATTTCAGGAAATGTGCATGGTCTACCCGCTTTATCGAAGGCAAGAATCCGGTTTGGAATATAAAAATAAGCATTGGTTGTTCTTACCAGCCACAAAGTAAACTTCATTTTCAGGCAGTGTTTCTGGGGGAGGTTATGGAGGGAAGAAAAAAGAAAAATCGATAGTGAGTGACTGATTGCTTCATTTTATCAGGCGGGCCCATTGTGAAAGAGCTCAGGGGAAATGTGGAGGTTAAATATATTTCCAGAGTTGTCCAGCAGAAAGAAAGTGGCACTTTGAAGAGAACTAGGGAAGTACATATCTTCAGATATCCCTATATAGTTCTCTACCTTCAGTTTTAGTAACAATTATGAAGAATTATTTGTGCTGACAGCAGCAGTTAAACTTTGTTTCTCTAATAGCTTTTTTTTTACATAAAAAAAGACCCAGGAACTTAATAGTGTATGCATAAGACTGTGTTTTTTAGCACACAGATACCCACAGCATACACTGACGATCTCCACGCAGTAGACAGGTTTTGTCTTCACTAGCTCATTTGTTTATCAAGTCATATTTAGGGTCCCACACCCTCTTTTCCTGTAATTTATTGCAGAATACACCACTTTGACTTGGACAGCTTTCTGCCCCCTCTTTCACTAAGGAAGGCAAATGAAGTGAAAAAAAAAAATGCCATTTTCAATCCTTCCTTTCTCCCCTTTGTTAATAGTTTTAAGTGAATTTTTGACCTTATCTTAATGGAAAACGGTTAACTCCAAACACAAAAGACTCTACTGGAAAGTGTAGGTGAAAAAACTTGTAACTGTATTGAAAATAAATACCATTAAACTGTGATCAGTTAAAATTTAAAAGAAAAATCAGCACAAAAGGGCGCTAAAAGGGAAAACACTTTTTATTAATCTTAAAAGTTTGGGGGTTTTTTTCCAGTTAGGTATTAGATAAATTTTTATTTTAAAAAATGAAAGTCTCACTACCATAAAATTATGGTTCAGCATCAGATTAGCATTGCACTCAGTAGTCTTTAAGGTTTTAGGAAATATGCTTTATATTGTCTTTTCAAACACCTGTGATTGTTTCATTTTCCATGTTTTTGCAAGATAAATGGTGACTTATAATGGGCATATTTATTTGCCTGTATTTCATTTCCCCCAATGAATGTCACAAGGAGATGGGCACGGAGCTGCTTCGGGTGCATCACGCTGCTCGTTCCTGAGGTATGGGAACTGGCCTTTAGTGAAGCTATCCAGAGCAGGGCAAATAGCCACTGGTAAAGGGAGGAAATGAATTTCCAGATACTTATTACCAAGTAGGTAAGGTCAGAAGCTGGAGTTCAGAGAATGTGTCTACAGCTTCTCTGACTCTTATAGGTTTACTAAGATGAAAGTTACCACTGAACCTTACCACTATGTATATATGTTTAATATCTGTCTTTTGAAATGCAGAAATAGTTTAAATGTTTCTTTGTCTATTTTTCTTTTTTTTTAATGCTACCCAGGGAAATATTTTCATATCATTTTTAAGTGGCCTGCCTCAATGTATATTTATTTCTTTTGAAACAAAAAGGTTCTGGAAACTGTTTTTCTGTAGCTTTAAATGAATAGGTGAGCAAAATCTATATGGGATGTAATTTTTTTGTTCAGTCTCTTAAAAAATACTTTGTTTTGGTACATTTGGTTGTGCTTGTGGGGAAAATAAAAACGCAGAGATCCTTATATATTTATGTTAAAGTAATATTTTATTATCTACATAAAACAGAAATGCACAATACCTTCATAGTTTGTTCTAATTATTGAAATATCTTTATTTTATTTTTAAAGATAGTGCCAAGTTTTAAGGGGGGAAAACCCTAGACCTTAAATTGACTGAGTTGAGTTGTGTGTAAAACACTTCCCTTCCTTTATACTTCATAAAGTTTTGGAATAAATTTTATGCATATACTGCCAGATTTGATGTTCATAACTTTCAGAGGCTTTTTTTTTTTTTAATGGAGACTACTGGTCTAATTCACTTTACTTTGCAAAAACTATCAGTCCCAAATCTTTCAGTCACTATGCCTGTAGCATTAAATTGAAATGGTCATTGGGTTTGAGCTTCAATTTGCTTGCCATTTCATGGTCCTACAAAGAGATGTTTGTCCCCTTTAAACATATGCAGATATGCCTGCATCTTCTTTCCAGGTTAACTATACCTTATTCGATTGTGCTGTTTTGGAGAACATCAGTGGAACTAGGTGGACTTTGATCTCTACCCATAGGTCCTCAAATAATTTGGGATCTACAGAAAAGCAGGATTTAGTAGATTATTATTTTTAATAATTTACAAATATCTCTTAACAAAGAATAACCCTGATAGTATACTATTGTGAGTTTACTAAATGATTAGAAGTAGATCCTATACATTATTCCTGTTTGGTTTGCATAAAAAGATGAATTTTACAATGGTTTATACAATTGTGTCTATTTTTCATTAGGCATACAAATGGGCTTTAAAGCAAGTAAAGAAAAAAAAAGAACATATGGGAGAGATTCAAGCCGTGATGCTAATAACAGATTGTTTCAGACAATCTTAGATGAAACAGTACCAAAATCCGTTTTAAGGTTAGTGAGAATTTCAAGCAGTGTTGGATCAGTTTACAAGTTTGCTGATGTATTTAAAGCCCTCCTTGGAACATTGGTTTAAGTATAAATGTCCATTTTGAAAAGTAGTTTCTGGGCTTATTACATCTGATCATCTTTTCTAACTCCTAGTCAATATTACATGGGTCTCAAACAGATTCCACCAAATGATCTTATCAATAGTCTGAATGAGAAGCGACAGAAAGAAGAAGTGTTTTGTGACCGCAGATATGCTGATGGGTAAAATGTTTAAGCTGGGTATAGATTTGAGTTCTGGGTCAATATTCTCCTCCACTGCAGGCAGAAAACAAGCAGCATCTGCCCTCTGCAGGGCATTTTAGTGGACCTTGAGAAGGCATTTTTGTTCTTAGCCACAGGGGCTGCTGAGTGGAAACCATCACATGTTAAACGTGCACACCATGGTTTTGACCCATGCTTTCTGTTCAGATCCTAAGGCTACTCGAATAGTTGCCACACTGGTTTGGGGAATGTATTACACACTAAGGTGGAAAACCCCATCACTGCCACTGGGAGAAATTTCTGGGGCAGTTGCCCCTAAGATGTTGGCTAGCCGTCACAACAAACCCTTTCTTTCTCCTAAGACAATGCAGAATACAGCTATCCCAAAGACCTCCTGTGTTTCTTCAAAATATGTTACTTGTAAAATTTATGTAATAATATGGGGGAGAAATGACCATGTGAAAAAGAGTTATGTGAAGGTCAGATGGAGGGAATAGCCACAAATAATATTACGTTTGGCCGTCCTAAACATTCTCGGTTCCCACGAAGTAGCCGCCTTTATATTTCAGATGGTAGCAACAAAAGCACTGTTCTCTTCCTCTTCCCTTCCTGCTCCTACCAGTGGAGGCCACACACTGGTTGGCAAAATTTCTGGTGAAATGGCTTTGGTAAAGACACTCATCTACCTTCTTTTTTCAAAAGCAACTAATAAAGAGATGCAACAGCAGCAATGGGGGAGGGGGTGGCATTTGGGTGCATTGGTACCTGCACGTATGTCTATATGCTGCATTCATTTGCTTTTCACTTGCCTTACTTTGGAGGCAGTTTGAGTAGTGCTGGGGAGCCAGGTTAAATTATCTTTCTATCACTAGTCTCTGTGATTTGTCTTGGTTGAATTTTCAAACAGTTTATAGAACTCTGTTCTACATTCTATTGAATTTCAACACAAGTTTAAAAATCAGGCAAAGAATGGAACTTGTACAGAAAAAGAAAGAAGGCTGGTGAAGTGAGGGTCAAAGGTAAAAGTGATTCTTTGGGTCTGCTTGTATATTTCAGTGAGTAGGGCAAAGGACAGTGTTTATTTAAAATGAAAGAAAAAGATGCATCTTGGAGTACTATGAATCTTGATATTATAACTAAATGGAATGTACAACTAAGTTTTTTATAAACATTTTCCCTGTTTAGGAAAGTTTACTTTTCAATGATGCATATTCTTTTAACAAGGGGCAGATGGCCATAGGAAAGAATCAGGGCTTCTGCTACCTATTCCCACCATTTGATTCAGGATGGGAAACAAGGCAAAAGTGGCAGGGGCCTGCCACCCAGCTAACAAATCATGGAATTAACTGACCCAGGTTTTCAGAACTGGTCCTGTGTTATTTTAATGCCTCCTTATCAGGCAGGCATGAGGGTACCAGAAAATGGCTTTTTTCATTTTCCTAAGGCCTTGCTTGGCTGATAAGGAGATAAGGAAACAATGAATATTTTAACATTTTTCTGGTGTTTGGTGGGAAACTGGGAAATTTGTTCCCTCCTTTAAAAGAAGAAAAGTTAATAAACTTAATCATATAGTACCTTCCTTTATCTTAAAGACACCTCTGCTTGACTTAGCTGTTAGAGGTTTTAGAAATAATTTAATATCCCATCAAAACAATCCTGGCCTCTTTTATTGTTCCTAGAATTCTGATTGTTGGTAAGATTAAGTTGCCTTTCTTTTTTTTAAAAAAAAAAGGTCTGAAATGTTATTTAATACACCAGTAAAAGTGCATCTATAGCCTAAAGTTTATTCCTTCCATGTCTTTCTGAGTTTTTATAGCTCTTTGTCTGGGATTTGGGGAGGGGGGGACTTCCATATGCGGTTTGTGCGTGAAGAGCCTAGGCTCTGGAGTGGTCTCTAGTTGGCGGCAAACAGCTCTCTGCTCTCAGAATGGGGAGCTGTCACCTAGAAAAAAAGAAGGAAATAAATCCCCCACAAAGACGTAGTTGTCACCAATTTTAGGAAGACAGGGGAGCACTAGGACCCCATCTGAGGGATATGGAGGGGATTTTGATTGTTATGAATTGTATAAGATTAACTCTCTGTGTGTCGAGCGACGGCAATAGGAAATCTCACTGTGGACTAAATTTGAATTTGCGTCCTTTTTTATTTGGGTAATGTATTTTTCCTCCCACCAGTGTTTCCTTTGGGTTTGTTGTTTAAAAAGGAAAGAAGGAAAAAAAGGCCACACAACAAAAAATATGGCCACAGAGACTTTGGCAGGAGGATGGGAAAAAGAAAGTTTCTTGTGGGTTTGTAACACAAATTAGCCATTGTAAATCACTGGGCTTCAAGGTTCAGGCAAATCTATGTGGAAAGTGTTAGGAGTTCTTTTCCTCCTCCTGTTAAGAAATCTCATTTCGTCAGGGGAACTGTTATGTTCTACAGCACATGATTCTGGAGACAATTATTTGGCATTAATAACTTTTTGTTGATGTTGTTCCCCTAACAAATATTGCTTCAAAATTGGTGCAGCACCTGGACAAGGCGGGCGAGTGTGCTGCCGGCCAACATCTGCTCCTTGCCCAGTCGCAAAAGAGGTACCTTGGCCTTGCCGCGCACCCCCCACCTCGGGGACCCTGGCCGCTGTCGCGAAGGCCCAGACAGCCTAGCTCGGCCGCGCGGGGAGGAGAGAGACAGGGAAAGGAGCGGGGCACTCCCTGCACTCCCAGCCCCGGCCTTCGCTCGGGACGCTGCCAACAGCCCCTGAGTTCCTGCCTGGAAATCAGGGATTCTCTGCGGCTCCCCAGGCTTCGACGCCCGGACCCCCAGGGGAAGGGTCAACAGCTCGGACGTCGAGCTGTTCCACTCTATCGCTTCCCAAGGAAGCGGGCTAGGGGTAACGGGCACGGTTGGTGGGTTTGCCCCCAGCAGAGGCTAGCGGTGGCGATTAGGAGTCCAGATGTCTTGGGTATAGCCGTCGCCCCGGGAAAGTGGGCTCTAGACGCAGGAGTTGGCAAGCCCTCTCTGGGGGCACGCGTGGCTGGGGCAGAGGTGCAGTGGGCCTAGGAGTGACAAGGGTTCGAGGCCCGGAGGAGAGTCTCCTAGCTTTTTGCCTGCCCGGCTTTTCCACTTGACTCTGCAGAGTCGGGCCCAGGACATTGCACCTGCATGGCAGAGGCAACTGTGGAAGATGGTGCCCCAAGAGAAAGAGGGAGATGAGACAAGTGCAGGAAGACTGGAGAGGAAAGGGGGACAGCTGCCCAGGGAAGTACAGTAATCTGGGCTTTTCCTGCTTTTTTGAGGGGGGCGGGCGGTATTTGTGAGAATGAAGGGGGACAGCTGAGAGCTGGGGAGCAAAGTTCTGAGGCAGGTTTCCTTCAGCTCCCACCCATCAAACTTCTGGGTGTTTCTGACCTCAGCTCCCTGCTTCCAATGAAGAGGAACCTACTCTTTAAGAGCTGAAGCACGGGGGAAAACGAATTCTTAGACCCCCTGGAAACCACTCCCCTGCTGGGCCTAAAGTCAGTTCCCTAGAGAAGGGAGCCCGGGAGACCCTCTGGGCACCCCGGCATCTCAAGCCAGAGCTGAGGGCCCGGAAAGTGAGGGGCCGCGCCTCAGTACTGGAGGCCTAGAGTCCATCTCCGCGAACTGGGGGCTCTCAGGGCCCGCAGAAATCCCCCTTAGCCCTCCGAGGCCCCTGGAAGGAGTCGCCCCGGGAGAGGAAATCACTCAGCTCTGAAAAGCGTCGCAAACGGGCGGTGGGAGAGTTCTAAAGCGGCCTTTCGCCTCTCGGAGGAGGTGAGGCCGAGCTGGGGATGTGCGGGTTTGGGGCCCAGAACTGCACCGCAGGGCCGCAGAGGCGGGAAGCTGGCCGGAGAGGAGTGGGAAGGCGACCAAGGGCAGCAGCAGGGGCTCCTGCGGGGCGCAGGTCTGTGCTGGCGCCGGGCCTGGCCTCTGCAGGCTCGGCGGAGCCTCCCGATTGCTCCCGCCGCACCCGCCCGCGGCCACTCACCCGGCCCCGCGGCCAGCCCGGGCGGGGTCGCACGCAAACAAGGATGCTTCTATTTACTCGCCTCTGCCTGTAGATTTCTAAGACATTCAGCAGGCACAATCATTAAACTAATTTGTGTTTGATTGTTTGGGCGGACGGAGGGTAGTTTTATTGCGCTAAGCATTCAAGCAGGCACGCATCGCTGATTACCAGTATACATTAAATAAAGTTGTTTGTACACATTGTCTTACCACATATAGGCAGAGGCTTATTATTCTAATTACTCTAATTAGTGCATTGAAATGTTTTCTACTTGATTTGAGGAGACAGTGATTAGTTCTATTACTTCTTTTAACTCGTATTTTATGGAAAACTGTTGGTGCATGTTCAAATTACTTTATTTGCCCCTGGAATATAACGCTGACCCAAATGCAGTGAACTGCACGGCCCTTGTGGGGCCCCAACTTTGATGTGGGCCTCGGCTTGGAAGAGGCGTCTGTTATTTATTATTTCCCTCCCACCAGCGTAGCCTGGTCTCCCAGCGCCGTGCCCGCCGCCCCCGCCCCATCCTGCGCCCCAGATGCGCGCCCCGCTTGGACCAGTCCGAGCAGAGGGGGGTTCCGAAATCTGCTCGGACGCAGCATCGCTGGCCGCCTGCCCCGCTAGTTCCCCGAGTGCGATTACTTTTTAAAGGCTCCTTTAAGCATATTTCCGTGAATCTGTTTCTTGTGCTTTAATGTTACTATTAATTGATAAGATCAGCTCATCAAACATACTATTTCGATAGGGAATTGTAATTAAAACCTTAATCCTGTTTGAGACTTTCTTCTCTCTCTAAATTCCTTTTTCTTATGAAAGGGGTGCAAAGTTCACTACAAAAAGTACTATAACAGGGAGATTAATTCGTTATCTAAATAACAATCTTTGCTATTGATCCAACGTACTTTCCGCCACCTTTTGTGTTGGTCCGGGAGGCCCTTAAAAAAGAGAATATACAAAGCAGAAGATCTGGACCAAGCCCCACCGACTCCGATAGACTTGGGAGAGCGAGGGGATCCGCGGTCCGCCCCCCTTAACCACAGTCTGAGGAAGCTTCAGAAGTGGGTCCTGGCCGTCCCAGGCGATGCCACTGGGGAAGCGCAGCGCTAGAGCCGCGGGCCTGGGAGCCGGGCTCCTCCACAGTCCTCTCCCCTCGCAAAGGGAGATCTGATCTGCTCAGTCTCTAGGTAAATATTCGACCGATTCTGCTTTTACTTTTAATATTTAAACTTGGATTATCCCGTCTCCAAATGCGCGTTCCTAACCTTTGCCAGTGGCTGGGATGTAATAAATCCTGGCGGGGCCGGGGCGCTCAGCCTCCCCAGGTCGCGGCCGCTGCCTCCCTCCCCCGTCCCGCCCCGCCCCGCGGGCCCCGGCCTGTCCGCCCCTCGCCGCCCGCAGCGAAAGCCGCGCCGGAATGAAATCAGCGCCTCCCCGCAGCTGACGGCTGAGCATCCTGGGCGCTGGCAGGCGGGGGAGGCCGCCCTTTATCCCGGCTGAGGAGTCCTCGGGGGCTGCAGATGGAGCCGCGGCTACCCGGAGGAGAAAGAGCCCGGCTTCGTGGAGGCAGCAGCCCCCAGGCATAGGAGGGGGTAGCAAGTGGGGCCAGGGGCCGGGAGGTTGGGCGGGGTCTATGGTTTGTATGTGTTGGGTGGCGGGTCGGGGAAGGTACCCTTTCCAAACCTATCTCCCCTCCTCGCTAGCCCTTTTAAAAAGGTGGTGGCCCCAGTTTGAGAATAAGCCCCAGCGTCTCTGAAGCCACGAGGACCGTTTGTGCTCCCAAGTCAACTCAGTATTCCGAGATTTTCTTCTTTTCTAAGAGCTTCACCCCCTCCCCACACCCTCCTTCTTTCCGTCTAACAAAGTCTTCTTTCCCCCACGCACAGACTTGTTATGTAACAAAGTCTCCCAGGCGAGTTTAACTGGAGAATAAAGGACACCCTAGCCCCACCCCTCCTTTCCTTTCCCTTCCCTCCTTCCTCCCCGCTCTCTTCCCTCAGTGCATCTGTTCTCCAGGACTTCTGTCCTCGCACCCAAGAAAGCGGCGGGCCTTAGCCGAGTAGAACTTTGGCGCCCCACAGTGGCATCGGCTCGGAACTACCTTTGATTTTACAGCCTCCCAGTCAGCACAACTGTTTTTGTTTCAGATCCAATTCTCCTTCCCCTTACTCCTCTCCTTCCTCACTCTACATTCTTTCCCTCAACCCCTCCTAGGCAAACACTTATGAAGGTGACTACGCATATGACCCCTACAAGGGTTTCTAAACATTTAGTTCTAGGTAATTCCTGAGTAGATATTTGAAAAGTTTAGCCAGAAAAGACACTACGTTCTATACCAGAAAAGTTCCCAAAGGTAGGAAGAAAGAATCACTTCCCCAGTTCCTTAGTTCCTACATGTTGAGGCTGTAGCAGATAAGTCTTTAGTCTCTCTAAGGAGCCTCAGCTTTTGGCAGGCATTAAGACCAGAATACCAGGTTAGAAGCCACGGTTAATAACAGGTACAATGCTTCAATCAGCAAAAATGGAGTCCAGCAAATGCTATTTTAACCCAGCCCAGTTTTCATCAGACACTTCTTGCTCTATAGTAGGTTTGTTCAGTTTTACCACTCAAAAGTGAGTTTTTTAAAAAGTGGATCACTTGAACAGAAACTCATCCATGGAAGAATTTTCCAGACTAGGGAAAACATTCCCCTAGAAACTCCCACCAAAGGTATCAGTTCAGCCTGTGGAGCTGAACTTTGCTTCCCTCAGAGCCCAGTGCATTTGTCCTCCCATACTATGGGCCATTTGCACCATGAATGTTGTTTTCTCCCTCCGCCTTTATCCAAAGTAACACGACAAGGAGAAGAAGAGAAAGGACATGGACTTCAGGCAGATCCCAGCAGTATTAATGGAACTGGGCAAAGGATTTGCAGTCAGAACACATGTGTTTGTCTATACTTCTATGCTTACTAACCAGCAACGGGGGAAAGTCAGTTGACATCTTCAGATCTCAGTTTTCTCATGTGCAGAATGTGGATAATATTCCTTTTTAAACTTTGCAACAGGGTTGAAGTAAGGCTCGGATGAAATAATGTATATGAAAGCATTGTATAAATTACCGCAAATCCAACCTGAAGCACTACTGTTGCCAACTCCAATGGAGGTCTTTGCTGTGACTAATAAGAAATGTTTGTTGTTTTGTTTTTTGAGACAGGGTCTCTCTCCATCGCCCAGACTGAATTGCGGTGGTGCAATCATAGCTCACTACAGCCTTGAACTCCTGAGCTCAAGGGATCTTCCCATCTCAGCCTCCACAGTAACTAGGACTATAGGCATGTGCCACCATGTCTCACTTTGTTGCAGAGTCTGGTCTGGAACTCCTAAACTCAAGCAATTCCCCCACCTCAGCCTCCCAAAGTGCTGGGATTATAGATGTGAGCCACTGTGCCCGGCTTAAGAAATGTTTTCTAACTTAAAAATAACCATATAGCCTTACGTCTATTTGTGTGGGGGAAGAGAAATGCAGGACAGTCATCTCAGTTGCATTATCCAGGGAAGGCACCACCGATTCTGCTTAGCTTTAAATTGGGGCTGCCACTCAGGAGACATTTTGTGTTTAGCATGTTCAGGTCCTGACTTGTAGCTGAAACGATCAGTCGGGCCCCTGGCGCCACATACCAGTGACTGCAGCGACTGTAGCTCCTGTGATGCGATGGCTAGCCCCGTACTCTTGCAAAGCACTCCATTTCTTCAACATCTTCCAAACTCCTGACGTTTATAGTGTCCATCTGTGGTGTCATTTATAGCAGCCTGGATTAGGAAGAGAATACTAGGCTCATGCACTTAAAACCAAGCACACACACGAAACAGCAGCAGCACTAATCACCCGCAGCTTTTCACGAATCCACACACGCCTCCCGTCTAGAGAGCCCCAGTGGCCCAGGGCCACCTCCAGTCCCTGGACTTGGAAATCAGGACGCTGTGGATCCCACAGGCGCCCCGCGACATCCTGGAGTCGCCGGGAGTGGCGCTGCGGTGAAAGCCGGTGCCTAGAGTGGGCTTAGGGGTCCCATTCCACTCGGAAAGTCCTCTCACCTCCCCAAGGGCCATTCTGCCGGCGCAATGTGGGGGTCCCTCCGCCACTCGAGCAGAGCCTGCCTAGGCCAGGCACCCCTTTGGGTGA
Organism: Homo sapiens; assembly: GCF_000001405.40. Classification (NCBI taxonomy): domain Eukaryota; kingdom Metazoa; phylum Chordata; class Mammalia; order Primates; family Hominidae; genus Homo; species Homo sapiens. The sequence continues at coordinate 98,848,054 of NC_000006.12, forward strand.
GAGCGGAGGGCCCCTGGGACGCCCAGCCAGGCCTGGCGTCTGGGGAGCCGGGGCTCCTGTGTGTGTCGGGCAGGCTCCGATGGCCGAAGCAGGGACGAAGGAACGGCTTCGCTGCGGGAGGCTAGAGGGCTGCGCTTCCGCCCTCCCGGCCTCCCTCTTGCCGCATGAGCAGCGCAGGGCCTCCTGGGCTGTGCTGGGGTCAAGAGTTATGAACACTTCGTGTCCTCAGGAGCTCACGGGGGTGACGAGAGGCGGTCTGGGTCTGAAGCCGCTACACAGAGGGGAGCAGTGGGGCCTCGGGGAGCAGCGGGGCCTCGGCTTGGCGGCTCCCCCCGCCACCCCGCCACCTTTCAGGACCCAGGCCAAGCCGCCTCACGAAGACCAGGAAGCGGCCTCTGCCGGGAAGCCACCTGCAGCCTATAGTCCCCTCCCCAAGCGGCCCCAGCCCGTGCTATCTCCTACATAGTTGCCTTCCGAACGCCTGGAGGGCCCTGACCCTTCCGGTGTTCCACCGCAATGGGGTCGGGGGGAGAGGGGGGCTGTGGCTGCCTGAGACCTCCAGGGCAGCGCACATTACGGGCGGGAAAGGGAAGTCAAGGCAGGAACCAGAACATCCAGGGAGAATGCAGGTCTGACATGAGCCAAGGCCTTGGCAGTAGAGGAACTTTCACCAGGTCGTGGAAAAGACCAAGCCACTAGCCCCAAAGAGCCGGACTTCTCGCCAAGCGCCGGAGTCCCTGAACCAGGATATGTGGGCACTGCTCCCTGCAAGGTGTCGATAATGCAGGTACGTGAAGACACACGCATTTCCAAAAGAACAGACCTAAATGCAGAACTTTAGGACCCTTAGAGTAATCAAAGTTAGTTAGGAGGTGATTTAGCAATCTCAAAAACAAAAAAGGAAGAATGCTTTGGCAGAAAGAAGAGAGAAGTGGAGTAGGCACTCTGGGTAGAAGGGAACTGGCACAATGTGAGGCAGGAAGCAGGAAAAGGCAGAGGGCGAGCAGGTTTGCTGGGCTGGGCCGGGGAGCAGGAGCTGGCACCTGGCATGAGAGGGCTGCTAAGGGAAACAGTGTATGGAGTTAATTGGTAGAGGGTCTGGAAGAAGTTTTAATTAGACTCAAAAGGCAATTAAGAGCCATCGTAGAGGGGGAGATCCGATGGAAATAATGCTCCTGGAAGGAAGAGAGTTGGCACAGTGCATTGGATAGGTTGGAAAGTGGTAAGGATGAAAGCAGGGAGGTTAACTAGGTAGGAGGTTGCTGGTGTAGATCTGACTCAAAGTGGTCAGTCAGGGAAATTTGAAAAGGATAGGCAAATGACTGGTGCCTGAATGGCTGTAGGGGGAAAAAAAGACAAAAGAATGGTGATACCATGATTACATTTTTAAGGAAGAAAATGGACAAGCATAGACAGATGAGAACAAAAGAGAATTGTAGAAATTGTGTTCAGTTTTAGATGTGCTAATTTTACTAGTTTATTTCTCTTTTCCTTCCTCCATCTCCCCCACCCCCTCCCAGGAATATCACGAAGTCACCAGGATAGCAGGTTTTTCAGCAACATTTAACTATTTACTGAAATACCTCTAATGCTGACCCTAGTAAAAACAACTTAATTTCAATTCAGGAAATTTCATTAAGAATACATGCTAATAAATGGTACCTCTGTAACTGCAAGAATGTGAAGGAAGAAAAAACGTACGTGAATCTGAGGTCTCACATTTTTCATTTGTAGTAGGTGCTATCCATGGTGTGGAGAAATTTTTATAGAAGAACAGCACCCAGGCTAGAGAATGAGACCTGCTTGAGACATATCACTTCTTTTTCATGTATCTTCTGCCACATATTTTCATCCAAATGTTTATTTGTTTCTAAGACAGCTAAAGAAAGGAGTCTATTTTAAAGAAATTTAGACATACATTAAACTTTCCTTGTTTAACACATTCAGTCAACTAAAACTATGAGAGGTCATGTTTGGGGAGAAGACATTTGTTTATACTTAATATCACTTCCTAAAACACAAAAACCCCTTTCTAAGGTTTCCTAGACTTTAAAAGATAGGAGTGGTATACTGTATTGATTTCAGTTAGGAAAAAGGAAGGCAATTTGAATAGGGGCCAGTGGAATACAAATATGTCAATATTCTCTTGAATATAGTGTAAAGTAACTGAGATTACCTGGTTTTAAATAAAGAGCATATGAAAAATGGAAAACTTTTCCTCTTAGATCAAAAACAAGACTAAAGTGCCCACTCTCACCACTTTCATTCAATATAGTATTGTAAGTTTTAGCCAGAGCATTTAAGCAAGAAAAAGAAGTAAAAGGATTCAAATTGGAAAGGAAGAAATAAAATTGTCTCTGTTTGCATGTGGCATGATCTTACATATAGAAAACCCCAAAGACTACATCAAAAAACTTTTAGAACTAATACATGAATTCAATAAAGTTATAGAATATAAACCAACATACAAAAAATCAGTAGCATTTCTATACACTAACAAAAAATAATCTGAGAAAGAAATGAAGAAATCAATCCCATTTATAATAGCAACCAAAAAATAAAATATTTAGGAATAAACTTAATCAAGGAGGTGAAAGATGTACAGTGAAAACTATAAAACATTGATGAAAGAAATTGAAGACACAAATAAATTGAAATATATCCTGTGTTCATGGATTGGAAGAATTGATATTTGTTAAAATGTCCATATGACCCCAAATGATTGACAGATTCAATGCAATCCCTATCAAAATTCCAATGATATTTTTCAAAGAAATAGAAAAAAAAATTCTAAAATTCGTATGGAACCACAAAAGAGCCTGAATAGCTAAAGTAATCTTGAGCAGAAACAACAAAGCTAGAGGCATCACACTACCTGATTTCAAAGTATGTTGCTAAGCTTAAGTAATCAAAACAGTATAGTACTGGCATAAAAACAGACACATAGACCAATAGAACAGAATGGAGAGCCTATATGTAAATCCATGCATTTACAGTCAATTGATCTTTCACAAAGGTGCCAAGAACACACAATGGGGAAAGGATAGTCTCTTCAATAAATTATGTTGGGACAACTGTATATCCACCCATAGAAAAATGAAATTGGACCTGTATCTCACGATATATACAAACATCAACTCAAAATGGATTAAAGAATTAAATGTAAGACCTGAAACTGTAAAACTACTAGAAGAACAAATAGTGTGAAAGTTCCTTGACATTGGTCTGGAGAATGATTTTTTTGGATTTGACCATAACACTCAGGCAGGAAAGCAAAAACAGGCAAATGGGATTGCATCAAACTTAAAAAGCTTTCCACAGCAAAGGAAACAATCAACAGAGTCAACAGAAAATATCGGCAAACCATACCTCTGATAAAGGGTTAATATCCAAATTATATACGAAACTCAATTCAGTAGCAAGAAAACAGCCTATTTTTTTAATGGTCAGAGGACCTGAATAGACATTTCTCAAAAGAAGACATATAAATGGTCAACATGTGTATGAAAAAAAGCTCAACATCATTAATCATCAGAGAAAATGCAAATTAAAGCCACAAGGAGATACCACCTCACACCTGTTAGAATGGTTACTATAAAAAAGAGAAAAAATAAGTTTTGGAGAGGATGTGAAGAAACGAGAACCCTTGTCCATTATTGGTGGGAAATTAAATTAGTACAGCTATTATGGGAAACAGTATGGAGTCTCTTCAAAAAACTAAAGAAATAGAACTACCCTATGATCCAGCAATTCCACTTCTAGATATATATTCAAAGGAAATAAAATCAGTATGTCAAAGAGATAATTGCACTCCCATGTTCATTGTTGCATTATTTACAACAGCCAAGATATGGAATCAATCTAAGTGTCCATCAATGGATCAATGGATAAAGGAATAACACACACACACACACACACACACACACACACACACGAATACTACAAAGCCTTAAAAAAGAAGAAAATCCTGTCATTTGTGACAACATGGGTGAATGTAGAGAACATTATGTTAAATGACATAAGCAAAGCACCAAAAGACAGTACTACATGATCTCACATACATGGGGAATCTAAAAAAGTTGAACACATAGAACAGAGAGTAAAATGGTAATTGCTAGGGGCTGGAGGTAGGGGTGGGGAAATGTTGGTTAAAGGGTAGAGTTTCAGTTAGAAAGGGTGACTAAGTTACAGAGATCTATTGTTTATCATGATGAATACAGTTAATAACAATGTATTGTATTCTTGAAAATTTCTAATAGATTAGATCTTAAATATACTCACCTCAATAAACAACTATATGAAGTGATGGAATATATATATTTATATTTTATTTTATTTTTATTTATTTTTGAGATGGAGTCTCACTCTGTCGCCCAGGCTGGAGTGCAGTGGCGCGATCTCAGCTCACTACAAGCTCGGCCTCCTGGGTTCACGCCATTCTCCTGCCTCAGCCTCCTGAGTAGCTGGGACTACAGGCGCCCACTACCACGCCTGGCTAATTTTTTTTTGTATTTTTAGTAGATAGGGGTTTCACCGTGTTAGCAAAGATGGTCTCAATCTCCTGACCTCGTGATACGCCCACCTTGGCCTCCCGATGGATGATATATTAGCTTGATGTAATCATATCATAAAATATACATATATCAAAATGTTATATACCATAAATGTACACAGTTTTTATTTGTTAATTATACCTTAATAAAGCTAGGGGAAAAATAAAAACAGAGCATGAACTGACTTCCACATAATTTCTCTTCTTCTTCTCTGTGCTATAGATAGTCAACCTAAGTTAGTTCTATTTTCCACTTCTTATTTAAAATAAAGCTAACCAGAGGTCATTAATTTCTTTTTCTTGGAAGCTCCCTACATAGCATTCATATTTTAAAAAAAAAAACTTTTCACCTGAAAATGTTAGTTAGAAATTAAAATTTTTGGTCAGGCACAGTGGCTCACGCCTGTAATCCCAGCACTTTGGGAGGCCGAGATGGGCGGATCACGAGGTCAGGAGATCGAGACCATCCTGGCTAACACGGTGAAACCCCATCTCTACTTAAAATACAAAAAATTAGCTGGGCGTGGTGGCGGGCGCCTGTAGTCCCAGCTACTTGGGAGGTTGAGGCAGGAGAATGGCGTGAATCCGAGAGGCGGAGCTTGCAGTGAGCAGAGATTGCGCCACTGCACTCCAGCCTGGGCGACAGAGCGAGACTCCATCTCAAAAAAAAAAAAAAAAAAAAAATTAAAATTTTTAGGCTACTGGGAAAAAACCAAGAAATTATTTTATGTAACATTTGTCAGAATAAAATTTTGCTCTAATTTGTTAAGGGAATTAAAGTTTTCGGAGTCATTTTGCTAGCATTTTTTCAGATGTAGACAAACTACTCCCACATATACCCCCTGTATATTTCACAAAATGTACCATAACCTCTCAGATGCAACTAAGTGGACTAGAGAGGCTATTGGCTCTGAGTTAGAAGGTGCATGTATGGAGTGGGAAAACTTGCAGGATGCCCTGCCTCTCTGCTGTTATTAGCATGGTCTCTCAAATCGGAAAGAAAAGGAAAAAGCTATTATGAAATGGTACCGCATGGGAGGCTAAATTTTCAGAATTATCTCTATAGTGAGGCAACATTTTAGAAACCAATAAAAAAGTTTATTTCTGAAAAAGCTTCATGTAGCATAGATCTGATGGCATCTTAATTAGATGATAAATATAAAATATAAAATTCTCTTTATAATTTTGCAGTATTTTCCATAGAAAGATATAAAGAAAAATTTAACAATTACCTGCACACCTATCACACAGTTTAAGAAATAAAGTATTGCCAACATGTTACTTCCCCTGAGTTACAGCTGCTTGATCACCTTTTCCTCTCTTCTTCACCCGAGGTATCCACCATGCTGAATTTGGTGTTTACCATTTCTATGAATGTCTTTATATTTTTACACACATATTTGTATTCTTGAGAGTTTTTGTTTTAAAACTATATAAATTATGTAAAACTTTTGAATAAATCACACTTCATAGAACATTTAAAAATATCTCAAATGCAAAAGACAAGCATCTTGCATATACTGCTGCACTTTTCAGACTTACATAATGCAATACTTTGGTTTAAAGGCCTGTATGGCCCTTCCAAACCATTTATGTTTTCAAAAAATTGAAACACTACAGAGAAAAGTAAAAGACAGAATGGATAGTGATAACAATATTTATGTTTTGCCTTTTTGAATAAGAGCAAGGCCTACATGTTTTACAGATTATCAGCTCAATTGTGTATATAAGAAAAAGAAAAATATCCCAGCATATGTGTGACTTATAAATAACTGCATGTTCTAATAGTTTCCACTTCAGAAATATTTACTTCTGAATGAAAAACATTATTTTTCATTTTGAATACTTTTATGAGTATCAAGTGATTCAGGAAGAATTCTGCTGTATGCATCAAAAGGAGTTTTTCTCCAATTATAAATAAAAATAAGTGTGGTACCTTGTTTCCAAAGATGGTTACAATAGCCTCCATCCTGCACACTTTCTACAGTGGGATTTTGCCACATCTCTCATAAAGTGGTAAAGTTATTCCCACCATCACCAACCCTACCTAAGCTGGGCTGATTCTTGTTTTGATTAATAAAATGCAGTTTTAGAAATGACCCTGGATGGCTTGCAAAGCTACGTTTTAAGAGATCTTGTAACTTCTATTTTTGCAGTCTTGGAAGTGCTGAGAGAAGACAGAAACGAGGTACTCAGCAAACAACCCAGCTAACCCTAATCCCAGCCAATCAGCTAGCTGATTGAAGCCCCAAGTGAGCTCAGGTACATGATATGTGCCAACACAACACAAACACATACACACTTCCAGAGAACAGAAGAATTGCCCAAACAGTCCACAGAATCATGAGAAATAAGCATTATTGCTTCAAGACATACATTTTGAAGGGTCACAATGCAGCAATAAATAACTGAAAGAGTGATATGAGAATGGGTTTGTTGTAAGTTTAGCATACTTTCACTGTGAGGTCAAGTTATAGGAAAATTTTCACAAAGAAAAAAAATCTTACCTGTTCTGCATCATAGTAAAACTCAACATTTAAAGGTTCTTGAGGTGCCATTCCTGCCCAACTTACAATCCTCTGAGGTATGTCAAATGTGAGTGAAGGACTTTACACTAGATACAATTTTCAACTAACCAGTCCAAATGATACTGCTTGACACTTATTTCTAAGTGTGTGGGGAACCGTGAACTACTCAAATATCAATCTTACTTGTAATTGCCATGAGGAATTTATAATCCAAGTCCATAAATTCATACCAACTTCTAGAAGAACAGAAGCAGGTGAATATTAGGTGCAAGCTGACTCAATTTAAATTCTTAGTTGGAAAAGAACTCAAACCTAGGAGGGGTAATATAAGAAAATGATTCTGCAGTGTTTATTAATGTGAGAAAATGATATTTAGCAGGAATAAGTAGGATGATAGCAGGAAGAAGTAGGAAGAAGTAGGATGTGGGGAACACCTGGAAATGACAAAGGGATATTGTCCTTTTTAAGAAATGGGTAGGAGAAAGAGTTGCTTATAAGAATATATTTTTTAAAAATAGTAGTGTATGACTATTAGGACTCTTTCATTTGCAAACAACCGAAACTAAATAGGCTTAACAAACGAAAAACTCAAGCAAAGAAGATTTATTAGATCATGCAACTTCTGCAGTGGCTCTATCCATGAGGACAAATTAGATTATAGGACTGAGTCTGGCTCTCTTCCTTTCCTGGCATGCGAACTCATTCTGTTGTCTAGAAAGCTTGGTAGTATGCTAGGCATCTATTTGGTACTACCAGAAGTCCCAGCCACCCAAGGCCCAGAAAACTTTTTGAGTTTGTGTGTGTGCACACGCGCATGCAAGCACGTGGGCGTGGAGTGTGGAAGTGGGGAGGTGCTTTGATTGCCTAGTTTCCACATCATATATCAATCTTTAAAACCAAGGAAATAGCCCCACCCAAACCACATGTCCTGAGAGTCTGAGAGGGGTGTTTTTCCAAAGAAAGGATGGAGGTTCAAGAAACGTTAAAAGGTGACTGAATAGGAAAAAAAAAGGAATTAAGAATCATGTGCATGATAATTAACGTACTTTTAATATGATAATGCTTATATTTTAAACATCTCTAGGCTAAGACATAAAAGTAAAGGAACTTTTTCCTTTCTGTCTTAGCAACTTATTGGTTGTACCAATTCGTAGGTGAGTTACAAAAGTGAAGATTTTTAGTAGTCTCTTAACCTACAGTTTTCCTATTTCTTTCTATATAGGTTAATAGATCTTTTGAGAAAACTGCTCTTAAAATATTAAAATATTTCATCTTAAAAATGTTATTTGAAATTCCACAACATTCTTAATGAAAAAAATATTATCTGCATCATTACATTAAATGGCTTCTGGAATACATTACCACTAATGATGCTAATAGAGTTAGTCCAGATGCAAACTATAAAAACATCCATTATCTTTTGTCCTTGAAGGAACTTCAAAAATTGCTTTTTTTTCTTATAAGAAGCCTACGAATGCTATACATAATTTCTTGCATTTTGTTTTGTAAACTGTTCTACAGAGCCTCAATATCTCACAAGTTTCTGAGATTATTTTCAAAACATATTTCATAATTTTGTAATTTTTTCTGTAGCCCAGGATCATATATAATTGATTTAATGAATGTAGTAGCAAGATATTTAATGTAATTTTTATTTTGCTTCCTAGCTTGTATTCAGCTTACATATATTAGGTAGTGCTGAATGCATCAAAAACATTTTATAAAAAAAGAAACTAAATTACCATTATTGGTAATAAATGAAAGTTCAAAGTAGATTTGTGTATCAGTGTTATGTTAGCTTACAGAGTTTTTTAAAATGCAGTGATAAAATATTTAACTTAAATATTCTTAAGCAAAAGTCCTACAAAAATGGTGTTTATTATAAAGATTAAGTAGACGTTTATAAGGCAGGCAAGAGCATGGAAATAGAAAAGTCTACACACTTAACACCCAATGAATGACTAGATCTCTCAGATAAAGTGTATATAATGCAAACTTCTGTTAGCTCTGAGTCATGGCCTTTAGTACCTGTAAAGTGTTTTGAATCCAGTTAATAAAATATCTTTCTTTTCCTGTATATAATTTGTAGGTCACTAGCATTTTTGGCTTTATTGGGAAGAATATTAGTTATTCAGAACCAATAGAATGTGTACACACAGAGAAAGAGATTTATTATAGGAATTGGCTCCTGTGATTATGAAGGCTGGCAAGTACAAAATCTTTAGGGAAGGCTGGTGGGCTGGAGACCCAGGAGAGCTGATGCTCTGAAGTTCCAGTCTGAAGGCCAGCAGTTTGGAGAGCCAGCATCCCAATTTGCATGTGAAGGCAGTCTGTGGTAGAACCAGGAAGAGTCAAAAGTCTCAGTGAAGTCCAAAGGCAGGCTGATGGAGAAATTCTGTCTTGCATTAGGGAGGGCAGTCTTTTTGCTCTCTGCAGGCCTTCAAATGATTAAATGAGGCCCACCCACATTACGGAGGGCAATCTGCTTTACACAAAGTCCACCAATTTAAATGTTACTCTCATCCAAAATACCCTCACAGAAACACCCAGAATAATGTTTGACTAATTATCTGGGCATCCTATGGTCCAGCCAAGTTGACAGATGAAATTAACCATCACAAGTCCACTCCTTGCCAAGATGGCACCCATATGCATCTCCTTGAACCACACTTAATCATCATATAAAGACAATAACAAAGTCATATATATTAGGCTGTTCTTGTGTTGCTGTAAAGAAATACCGGTAACTGAATAAAAGAAAAGAGGTTTAACTGGCTCACAGTTCTGCAGGCTGTACAAGCATGGCACTAACATCACTTGGCTTCTGGTGAGGCCTCAGGCAGGCAGCTTTTAATCATGATGGAAGGCAAAGTAGGAGCAGGCATTTCACAGGGCAAAAGCAGGAGCGAGAGAGAGAGGTGGGGTAGGAGAGGTGCCACATACTTTTAAATGACCAGATCTCAAGAGAACTCACTCATTATCGTGAAAACAGTACCAAGCCATGAGGGATCTGCTTCCATGACCCAAACACCTCCCATCAGGCCCCACCTCCAGCACTGAGGATTACAATTCAACATGAGATTTAGGTGGAGACAGACATCCAAACTATATCATCATACTTCCACCTAAAATGATACAACTACCCTATGTACAACCAAAAATACAACCTTTCCTCAGAAAAGGATGCAAAGTCCTTGGATGATGTTTTCTCTTCTCCACATCCCATAACCTAAATGCTATAAAGTTAACACTACTTAAATACTATGACATAAAGTCAATACATCTTATATTACATGATAGAGAGATAACAGGGGAAAGAAAACACAGATGTTTGCTACACATACACATATTCAAAACAATATGAGGAAATAGACATGACAGTTACAGTCCTCATTTCTGTAACTGGTCATGTGGTCATAGCTAGTATTCATAACTACCTTATTCCACTAACCCATTCTATATTCCCATTGCTTTCAGCAAGCATCTCAGCTGATTATAGTTCTTAACCTGCTTGGGTGGCCCAAATCTTTATTCC